>NC_000003.12:194158572-194309572 GCF_000001405.40 Homo sapiens | reverse complement strand
TTAAAATAGTTATCTTATTTTCAGGACCACAGGAAGAAGGAGGGAAGTAAATATACAAAACCTAAAACTGTTATTAAATTTAACTCTGAGGCTCTTGGCAGCCAAGACAAAAATAAAACAGGGAAAAGTAAGTGGATTTCTTAGGAGAGATAAAATTCACCTGGCTTTTGAGCTCTAAAAGAGATTTCCTAAGGGGCTCCTGTCAAGTGATACAACAGACCAGTGGGTTGACCCCAGTTTTATGCAAAATGGCCAAGTAGTTTTCAGCTGGATTTTTTTTTTTTTTGTCATGACCCTTAACCAGCATTTAGGGCATCGTAATGACTAGTCTGGGAAGTGAAAGTGATCTTGAGGGGTAGAATAGAATATAGGAAACTCCAAGAGAACTGATAGAATCATCTGGCCTGTTCATCATGCATTCCATACTTAAGGGTACTTTGAGTAGGATCGGGGGCAAAAAAGAAGAAAGGCTAACTGCAGAGGTATAAACATACAAGACAGGACATGTCTCAGGAATCATTAACGCTGCACCACACCACTACCCCACCCCACCCAGCAGAAAATGAATCGCCTCATGAAATCAGTGAACACCTAAGTTTTGGTGTTGGTGTTGATGTGCACGTATGTGTGTGTGTGTGGGAATGTCTGTGGGTATGAATGCAAGTCCTCTTCCCCTAGCCCAGCACAGCCCCCACCACAGAGCAAGAGAGCAAGGCTGTCAGCATCCTGAAATCAGCTCTTCTCTAGTTGATTTTGATAACCAGCCAAAAATGCAGGATCTTTTCAAGGCCTGAAGATCATTAACTCTTTGGAAGAACAACAGGAGAGTTTTTGAATGCTGGGACTGACAGCCTGTTGGTGATAGGCTTAATTACTCCAATTAAATATTCAGGAGCAGAGCCAGGCAAGCCAACAGAATTAGGGGAAGGAATCTTTGCTCCACGGCTGCAGAATTCCGTGCTAGACGGCATTGAGCTTCTCTAAGATGAACACTAGGTTCCCAGGCTCCCAAAGTCCTGACTTTTGATGGTATTTTCTCCCCTCTGGGAGGCACTGACTGTAAAAGATTTATCATTAACTGAGGACCTAGTGTGTTCCAGGGCTGTGCTAGGCCCTGGAAGTTCTGACAAACAAGTTCCCTTCTATGGAGGAAGTACAGGAATCGATTTCCCCACCCCACACTTATAATTACCAGACAGTGTAATCCCATGTGGGATAAGAATTAATAGGAAATCAAAGTTAATTCTCAAATTCTACTTTTCCCAGACTGTGGGTTTTCTTCCCTGGAACCGCAGGCCCAGTTTCTTTCTAGATCATGACTGGCACCATCACTGACCTTTGGGGTGTGGCATGACGTTGGCATATACGCTGTAAGTTTGGTTGCCACAAAGTCCCTTCTGAATTCTAATAATGGGGCCTTTCCTTCTGGGTGGAAAGTTTCTGCCATAGCTGGGGTGGGTCGAGCGTGGGCACTGAGTAGCCTCATTGGTGAGGGGTGGCTGCCCTTGCATTCTTCTGCTCAGTGGCCTGAGGATCGACCCCTGATAAGCCACTGCCCACAGCCACAGGACAGGACAAGCTTCCTGACCCATGTGGAGATGGAATCCATGCCCTATTCTCCTTTCATCGGTGCTCTAGCTAAATGAGCAGCTGACAACCCCAAACTTTATCTCACAGCGGGGACTCTCTGGCCTGTCCGAGATCTGCAAGTGGGGGGGATGGAGCTACAATCTGGGTCATGTGTTTATCTCTAGCCTTGGGGTCTCAGCCATTTCCCCCACAATACTTCAGTGTACCGCCATGCCATCAGCATCAAGAGGTGCTACAAAGAGGTTTGATTTTGTTCTTTTGCAATACACAGCAAATAATTTCTTTTCAACCCAGTTGTTCTTAATTATCTTCTGCCTCAAAACACCTGGAGGATTTTTGGTGCAGTCCCTGGTACCAGCAACAGCATCGCCTAGGAACTTGTTAGAAATGCAAATTCTGGACCCCACCCCAGGATTACTGAATCAGAAACTGGGGGTGGGAACAAGCGGTTTGGGCTTTACCGGGCCCTGCAGGTGCTTCTGGTGCAAGCTCATCTTTAAGAACCACTGAGTAAGAAGAACTCACCATGACGGGAGTTCTCGGTCAGGAGAGGCTTCCTGGGGCGTGTGCCAGAATCTCTAGAATTGAGGATGGGAGTGGCACACAGGTAGTTTGAAAAAGCCACTAAACTCATTATACTCTCTCCCCTGCCACCTTACCCCATTCTGAGAATCATTGATGTAGAAACTGATTTTGCATTGGAGGAAATGTCTCACCCAACTGCCTCCGTGTTTTGATGACTTTTTTTAAGCTTCAGAAAGTTCATTACACCATTGGGGTGACTTGTGTTTCACCTCAGATCTCCTTTCATGGTTGTATACAAAGAATTAATTTATACAAGCTGGGGCTTAAAAAGGGAGAAGTTTCCCCACAGTGGTTTTGTCTCGTTTGGCTTTTGCTGATTAGGAGTTGGTTGGGTCAAAGGTCCACCCTAGGAGCTAGAAACCCACCCTCGAACCATGTACCCCCTTGCCAGCTCCTGGGGCAGGGGTCTTCTGGCCCCAGCAAGTGCTCAGGTTAGGAGGGGCCCATGGATGGTCAGGAACGGCATGCTGCTTTGCTCATAGCCAAGCAACCGTGCGCATCTGCATGAGGATTTTTTTACAAGTTTCTTAAAGGAAACAGATGTCAGCAGCCTCTTTTTCATTGCCCGCAACAGGGAGAAGACACACCTAAGTTGTCTGAATTGCTTGCAAACAGTGGTAGATGTGGGCATTTTTTTTTCTCTAAAAAGATTATATTTGGGAAGCCACCCCCAGCATTTGAGGGGATGCTGGGCGTTTTAACAGTAAGGAGAGTTTACTTTAATCCACCTCATCTCGCTGCGATCTGCAGGTGTTCACGCTGCTTCTGCTTGCCAGGAAAACAACGAGAGGAAGGAGACTGGCTTCTTAGAAAGCATGTTTTCCTGTGGAAGCGGCCCACAAAACCTGCTTATCTGGGTGACAGGCTCCCCCTTCTCAGAAGGTGGTATTTCCCTTGTGGCTACACAGGCAGGAAGCAGGTGGCAGGGAGTGGACCCACAGCATCCCCCACAGCGGGCCCTGGGGTTGCCACCAACCGTGGCTGGGAGCTACTCTCCTTGATTGCTGAGTGGCTCTGTGGCTCTGGGGGCTGGAGTCAGCCGATGTGCTTGGCAGATCTGGAGGGTGGGGTCTCTGCTGACTGCGGCTGCTTGCTCTGGGAGTGGATCGGGGACTGATCCACTGGCCCAGCAGGAGCCTGGCTGGATCCCTCTTGCCCTGGGGGAAGGGAAGCCCGTTGTGTCAGGAAGACTCTGCCTGAACTCTGACCTTTCCCCTCACTAGAATGCAAGCCCCACAGGCAGCAGATCCTGTGGGTTTCATTCACTCAGATATCCCAAGCATCTTGAAGGGTGCCGGGCACACACTGGCTTCTCAATACATGTTTATTGACTAAATAATTGGATTCCTCTCCCATCTTCCACCCGCCAGCCTCCTCTTAAACATGACAAAGAATCCAAGGACTTGTGCTGGGGCTGTCAGCTGCTATTCTGGTGCCCTGGGGACGAAGAAGGGATCTGGAGGGAAGACTGTCACCCTCTTGCGAATGTTTCCAAGAAGCAGCTCAGCATGGGAGAGAAAAGGGGAGATCCCAGTTCCAGGAACACCTGGCCAGTGTTTCACCTGTTTATCGGAGTTGACAGGACCAGCCAGCCCTTTCCCACCTCTCCCCATCATGATGGATGGGAGCCTGGCCTTTGAGGTAAGAACAGATGGGGTTACAGACACTGGCCTTTGAAGACATCTGGAGCGACTGCTTCTCTGGCAGTTCACTTTTAAACCGGCACTTCACCCAGAAGTTGAAGGACCATCTGACAGATGCATAAGGGGTTTGGTGTTGAAGAGAGTTGGGCTAGAGAGTGTCGCAGAGCCCCGGGACTCCTGCGGGTTTAGGATTCTGGCTGAGGGAAGTGTGGCAGGGGCTCCCCACTCACAGGCTCCAGGCTGTGTGATCCGTGGCTGAGGACCCAGACCCTTAGACTTCAGGCACCCTGCAGGGGGTCCCATTTCAGGCAGGACTTTGCCTCCACAGCCCCACAGCTCTGCCTTGGACCAGAAGATTCCAAACAATTTAAACTACTAGTCATACTGATAGAATACTAGTAGTTTGCAAAGAAAAATATTCCCTGGGCCTTGAGGAAGCAGTTGAATTGTGATGGTGCCTATGAACATCCTAGGGCCATGTGTTGTCATTTTCAAGCTTCCCCTCTGCCTAGAGGTGACAACCCTGGTCCCGTGGTGCCCTCCTTAGTGAGCTTGGCAACAAATATGACAACATGAGGGTCACTAGGAAAGAGAAAAAGAGCAAAGAATAGATACAAATGTGATAGGGTACCCTGGTCTTCAATTAGAGAAAGCTGGTCATTTTACAAGAAGCCCTAAGCCTAGCCTCTTCTAAGCTCGGTGAGAGAGGCAAGAGCAGGAAAGAGACTGGCCAGAGGTCGCCCAGGGACCCAAGGAAGCCCTGAGATTTGATGGCTATAAATATAAGTGTATGAATCAGAATAGCACCGGGCAGGCTAGGCATGGTGGCTCACGCCTGTAATCCCAGCATTTTTGGAGGTGGAGGTGGGTGGATCACTTGAGCACAGGAATTCGATAACAGCCTGGGCAACATGGCAAAGCCCTGTCTCTACAAAAAGTACAAAAATTAGCTGGGTGTGGTGGTGCACACCTGTAGTCCCAGCTGCTCAGGAAGCTGAGGTGGGAGGATTGCCTGAACCCAGGAAGTCGAGGCTGCAGTGGTTGGTGATTGCGCCACTGCACTCCAGGCTGAGCAACAGAGTGAGACCACATCTCAAAAAAAAAAAAAAAAAAAAAGCACTGGGCATCTGGCCTGTGCCCATTTAGGGTGAGGTCCTGTGGTTTCAGGTACTGTGATAATCTGCCCATTTTGCCATTCATTAGCTCATCATCCAATATATGCCTTTTGAACACCTAGTACATCCCTAGCACTGTGCTCACACAGCGGGGCGATGGCGAACAAGAGACAAGGTTCCTGTCCTCATGGAGCTTACAGTCCCGCTTGCCTTACACGGACTCGCTGAGCCTTCTTCTCGGGTGATGCCTCAGCTTCCTACTTCACGAAGAAGATAAAAGCAATCAGAAGAGATGCTCACGAGCATCTGTCCCCACCTCACCCGCTGCCTCACCGCATGCCCGCGTTTTGTGTCTGTCCCTCTCCTGTTCTGTGGATGAACTTTTCACGCCATGGCTCAGGCCAGCCCCTCCCCCTGCAACATTCATCCCATGCCCTCCTGGCTGCTCAAGGACATCGCTCCAGTGTCTCCCTTCTGTCCCTTGCACCATCAATCTTTCCCTCTCTATGGGGTCTCTCCTAGCAGCATGCTACCATGTTGCCATCTCTCCCATGTAAAGATACCTTGTCTTGACCCCACTTCCTCCCCCAGGAGAATGGCCCCAGTTCTTACCACTTCCAAAATGATTGTCTGGACTCATCATCTCCAAATTCTCTCCTCCCATTCTCCCTTGAATCCACCCCAATCACACTGTCATCCCTGACACTGTTCTTGTCAAGGTCACCAATGTCCTCATTTTGCTAAATGCAGTGGACATTTCTTGGTCCTCATCTTGCCTGGCTGTCAGCATCATTTGACATGGCTGGTTCCTCCCTCCACGTTGAACACTTTCTTCACATCCACCTGCTTTCCTTCTCCTTCTGGCCACTGCCTCTCAGACTCTTTTGCCATCTTCTCTTCAGATTCCTGCGAAGGAATGACAAAGAACATCAAGGCTCAATCCTTGGAACTCTCCATCACTCATCTTTAAATTAGACTTCTCTGCTGACTCTCAGAGTTGTGTATGCTGAGAATCCACTGCCTCTAAGACATCCTGCTTGGCAGGTAACAGACATTTCATCCTGAGCTGAGCTCCTGCCCACCCCGCCCACACACAGACCCCTTCTTGCCCACAGATTTCCCATCTCAGCCAATGGCGAGTCCAAAAATCCTTTGTGTCCCCTTTGATTCTTAGGTTCCTATCTCCCTTCGACTGAGGCATCGTTTCCAAATCAGACACTTCTCGTCACCACTATTGCCCTCCCCTTGTCCAACCCACCTTTGGCTCTTGGCTGGAGTCCGGTGAGTCTCCTAGCTGGCTCTCCCTGTTCTCGTCATTTCCCAGTAAGTTCCAACCCTGCCTTCAGACTCTTCTGCACACAGCTTCCAGAGTAATCCTTTCAAAAAGTAAGTCAGATCCCATCTTTTCCCTCCCGTCTCACTCTGTCAGCCACATTCATTCCAAAGGACCATGTGGTCCATGTCCCTGTTCTCTCTGGTTCTCTCACTGCTCTCCTCTGTGCTTACTCTCTCCTGCCTCACAATGTTTGCACTTACTGTTTCTTCTGCTTGGAACTCTTTCCCTCCAAGACCTTTTTTTTTTGAGACGGAGTCTCGCTCTGTCGCCCAGGCTGGAGCGCAGTGGTGCAATCTCTGCTCACTGCAAGCTCTGCCTCCCAGGTTCACGTCATTCTCCTGCCTCAGCCTCCCGAGTAGCTGGGACTACACGCACCAGCCACCATACCCAGCTCATTTTTTTTGTATTTTCAGTAGAGACGGGGTTTCACCATGTTGGCCAGGATGGTCTTGATCTCCTGACCTCGTGATCCGCCCGCCTCGGCCTCCCTAAGCGCTGGGATTACAGGTGTGAACCACCGCGCCCGGCCTCCCTCCAAGATCTTTACTCACGTTGTCACCTTAGTGACGGCTCCCTCCCTAACCATCCTATTTAAAATTGCAGCCCGTTCAACACCCATTCCTCCTTCTCCATCCTTGCTCTGCTTCCTCCCTTTGACCTGTCACTCTTTAATCCAGTGGCATTCTGATTCAATGGTGACTGGGAGCAGGACCTAAGGAGGTGCGTCATCTGTAGAGAATTTGAAAATAATCGTGAAATAAACTCAAAGTGGGTTTGCTCTTTATGAGCCCCGCACACCAGCAATTCTAAATTCTGTTATCAATATACTTTCCTGCCAGGGTGGGCCGCCCCCACCGATTCTCCTCTATCTTAATACACTATGTGTTTCCCTTGTTTATTTTGCTTATTGTTCATTTCCATGCACTAGAATATAAGCTCCGCGAGGGCAGTATATTTTGTCTGTTTTGTTCACCACTGTGTCCCTCGTGTCTGCCACATGGTGTGTGCTCAGTAAGCTTTAGCTGAATGAATGAAGTGGTGGATGTCGACGTTCCCTTAGTTGGGGGTTATCAGGAGGGCTTCCTGGATGAATTGGTGTCTATATTGCCTGTCCTTAAAGAGGAGGAAGGTGCTCTAGGCAGAAGGAACAGCAGGTACAAAAGCAACTTGACTGTCAGGGTCATTAGCTAAGAGTAGGAGTCAGAGGGATGAGTGGGTGTCGTTCACCAGAATTTACCCTTCAAAATGTCAGTGCTTAGTAAATGAATGTGTTCCTTTATTACTAGTTGTTGGAGGGTCCTTGTTGACATCTTGCAGAGGTCTGGCTGTCACTTTTAATCAGAATGGCTATTCCCCACTCCTGCTGAAGAGCTCCAGGCCTGGCGGGGGTGGGCTGGCGGGCTGTGGTGGTGGTAAGGGCTGTCCCCCAGCACACTGTTAGAACTTTACTTATCCTCTTGCTTGAAGTGTGGGAGCTGGAGACCATTCAGGAAGCTGTGGTTACAGTCCCAGACAGGGTCCCTAAAAGCAAGGAGCCATTCCCAATGCTTCCTCCTTAGGGAAGCCTTCCCTACTTTCTCTTCCCTCTTCTGGGCAGAGTTTGTACCTTCCTCCTTTTTGCTCTCTGTTTATTTCTTTAATTTAACACTTAACAACATAATACCATCTTTATTTGTTCCATGTTTGTATCTTCTACTGAATGTGGCTTCAAGAACAGAAAGCACAGAACGTGGCACGTTGGAGGAAATCAGTAAGTGTTTGCTAAAGGTCCAACAATGAAACAGAACAGATATATCCAGTGCTATGCCGCGTCAAAAGAGTATGAGAGGTATTGTGGTGATGCTTTTGAATGCTAATCAGAATAAGGAGGGTGACTAGTCCATAGTTATATAGAATATAGGATATACAGAATATACCTTTTTCTGTAACGGGATGTGTCACTTAACTTTGTTCCTTAAAGCTCCAGAAGCCCAAGGTCACCCACAATGATTCAAGTATTATCAATGTTGAGAGCCTGTAAAAGCATCAAGTATATTATAGTTTCCAAAAAATTGTGAATTAGACTGAAAACCAGCATTTAAAAAATAAAGTGATGTTGACTTAAACACTGGTTTTATATACATGCCGCATATGAGCTGTGGAGGCCGCTCACATGCCAGCGTACTGGTTCATCTGCAATGGGCAGGCGGGCCATACCCCACTGGGGAGAAATCTTATGGGCTTCAGAAATGTCTAATGAAATAAGATTTTTAACTAGTTCAAAATCGGAGTTCAGAAACAGTTCAGTTAATATTTAAGTGTCGAGTTAAGAGAGGAGGTTGAACAAAATTCATTTTGAAGCTTTCACAGAGTTTTTAAAAAGCAAAACTTTAGACTTAAAATGGACTGTTTTATTATATGCAATGCACGTGAATATTAAATGTATGTTAAGTTTTTCATTTAGCAGATTTCTCCCCAGACTTTTAAAACCACCACCAAAAAATATTTACATATTCTCTCCTCTCCCCCAAAGCATCCCTCCCGTACACAAATACCCTTATTTTGAGACCGTGTTGCTCTAGATTAAACCAGTTCTTCCAAGAGCAGCCCGTAGGATTCTGCTCCATCCAGAGCAAGGCCCTTGGCTAAAGTCACTGCCTCTGCTTGACTGAGCCGGGCTGGGAATCTCATTATGGAAGCTTTCCACCTCCTTCCCAAGCCAGCCCTCTAGCGGAGGCCAAGATTGCGTCATCGGTCCTGGGCCTCATCCCTCCTTGCCTGAGGCCTGCTCACCTAATGTGTTTCAGGAGCATTCCAGCAGCCAGGCCTTCAGTTGCTCCCCGATCCCAGATGGGGAAAACCTTGTGCGGCACATTTGCCTCAGGAAGACTGCACTGGGCTCCCCGGCGCCCCTAGGACAGCGTCCCTTCACGTCGGAGAGACTGGGTGTGGGCCGTGAGGTTTAGGAGGCTTTAGGAGAAGGAAGATCCTCTCTCAGGAGTGAAATGATCTTATCTGAGAGGATGGAAGTGGTGAGGGCATCAGCATGGGTCCTGGGCTGCGGCTGTGCCTCTTCCTCCCCATGCTGACACGTGCTTGCCCACAAGCGCCCCGGGCCTCTACATCTCTTGGTAGTTTAAAGCTCTATTTTAGTCTCAACTAGCAGTTTCTCTCACTGGTAGATCTAAGTTCTAAGACTATTCAATGGGTTCTGTTTCTTTTTTTAAGAATTAAAAAAACTGTTCCAGTTAATTCACGGTCACTATGAAAAAAATAGGCAGGACATGTAAATAAAAGATTAAAATATATACAAATCAAAGAAGGAAGTACACCCAGGCCAGTTATCAGGCAAGCTTGCCAGACATCAATCCAGCAAGAAAACGATAGTGTGCTTTGAAAATGCCAAATCCGGCCGGGCGGGCGGCTCCCGCCTGTGATCCCGGCACTTTGGGAGGCCGAGGCGGGCGGATCACGAGGTCAGGAGATCGAGACCATCCTGGCTAACACGGTGAAACCCCGTCTCTACTAAAAATACAAAAAATTAGCCGGGCGTGGTGGCGGGCGCCTGTAGTCCCAGCTACTTGGGAGGCTGAGGCAGGAGAATGGCGTGAACCCGGGAGGCGGAGCTTGCAGTGAGCCGAGATGGCACCACTGCACTCCAGCCTGGGCAACAGAGCAAGACTCTGTCTCAAAAAAAAAAAAAAAAAAAAAGAAAAAGAAAAGAAAATGCCAAATCCGGCCAGGTGCGGTGGCTCATGCCTGTAATCCCAGCATTTTGGGAGGCCAAGGCGGGTGGATCACCAGAAGTCAGGAGTTCAAGACCAGCTTGACCAACATGGAGAAACCCCGTCTCTACTAAAAATACAAAATTAGCTGGGCATGGTGACGCATGCCTGTAATCCCAGCCACTCGGGAGCCTGAGGCAGGAGAATCACTTAAACCCAGGAGGCAGAGGTTACTGTGAGCCAAGATCGTCCCATTGCACTCCAGCCTGGGCAACAAAAGTGAGACTCTGTCTCAAAAAAAAAAAAGAAAAAAGAAAGAAAAAAAGAAAATGCCAAATCCATTACTTCTTTGGGAACCTCAGGTGTAACCGCTGGTGTGCTGTGGATGACACAGCATCACTGGGATCTGGTGCCTGGTATGAGCTGTGTGAAGGAGTAGGAGTGTGCTCACCCATCCGCAGGGCCACCGTTGGTCACTGTCCTACATTTTCCCTCCTTGCTCCCAGGGCTAGTCCTGGTTAGGTGTGGGCGGCAATCTGGGGACAGCAGTCAGCTTGCTGTCTGCTCCACTCTGCAACAAACTGCCTTCCTCAGTGCCCACCCCAACGGAGAAGGAACAAATGGTCTTCTGTTTGGATGGAGGAGAGGATTTGTATCTGTTCTCAGCTGCCTGTGGGTTTGTGCTTCCCACCTGCCTGCCCAGGCCTCATCTGATGTATCAGGAGTCCTCTGGGCGGGCACCAATGAGGGCAGCCTTTCAACTAATCCGGGGTGCCACCGAGGAGCTGGAGTGCGAGCTCTTTGGCCCTATGGGAAGCTCCCCTGGGAGGCTGCACTCTTTTCTACCAGTGAATGTTCTTTCACCCACTTCCTGCGGGCGCTGGCCAGATCCTCTGTGAGCAGTGGAGCTTGGCATGGTTCAGCGTGGAGCAGCCCTCCCAGCCACCCAGGGAAATCTCTCCATTCAATTACCTCCTGGCTTCCCACGCGTGGCCCATTAGCCTTGTCTGGGGCTCTTATGCATCAGGATTTATCATTGTGCAGCACCTGCGGGGGAGCTTGCCCCAGGCTTTGAAGGTCCTTCTGCAGAGGAGCTTAGGCAGGAGCAGGGGGCGCACGGAGGAGGTTTCTCTCAGTGGAGGAGCACGTGCTATGATTTCCTAGCCTGCTGTTGACGCTCCATTGCGGTCCTCATCACTTCAGAGCACTTTCATTCTTATTTTATTTTTAAATTTTTAAAAGAGACTGGGTCTCTTTTGTTGCCCAGGCTAGAGTACCGTGCTGTGATCACAGCTCCCTGGAGGCTTAAACTCCTGGGCTCAAGCAATTCTCGTGTCTCAGCCCCCTGAGTCGCTAAGACTACAGGTGGGCATCACCATGCCTGGCTAATTGATTTTATTTTTTAGAGATGAGCTCTTGCCACGTTTCCCAGACTGTGCTTGAACTCCTGGCCTCAAGCAATCCTCCCACTTCAGCCCCAAGAGTTGCTGGGATTACAGGGGGAAGCCACCTTGTCCGGCCCAGAAGCACTTTTCAAAGCCTCTTACGTTGGATGCTGTAGGTTCCATGCGACAATGACACTAATTATGATTTAAGCAGCACCTACTAGAAAGGAGCGTGTCTCATACATTATTGATCACTCTTAAAACTGCCTAGCTCCACGTGGTGGCTCACTCCTGTAATCCCAGCTCTTTGGGAGGCTGAGGCAGGCGGATCACCTGAGGTCAGCAGTTCGAGACCAGCCTGGCCAACATGGCGAAACCCCCTTTCTCTACTAAAAATACAAAAATTAGCCAGGCGTGGAGGCGCGTGCCTGTAATCCCAGCTACTTGGGAGGCTGAGGCAGGAGAATCACTTGAACCTGGGAGACGGAGGTTGCAGTGAGCCGAGATTGCACCACTGCACTCCAGCCTGGGTGACAGAGTGAGACTCCATGTAAAAACAAACAAACAAAGAACCCCAAACTGCCTAGCTCCATTTTGTTCAACAAGAGGCTCAGAGAGTATGTTTGAGGTCACCCACGTGTGTATTTTACGTCTAAAACCTCTCCTGACCCTCGAATGACCCACTCCTGGCTGTAGTCAGTTAGGTCTGTTCAGCCGCAGGAGAGGAGGCTCACAACGGCCAGGCAGGCTCCGATCTTCTCAATGTGGTCCCTCGCTGTGGCGGCTTAGCTTAGATCTTCTCTCAAACTCAGGCCGCTAGAGGGTCCCCACCGGGAAAGGGACACGCCAGGGCGTGGGGCAGGTCTGGAGCGGCCCGGGGCCGGGTGGATCCCGGCGCTCTGCTTTTACCTGGCAGGCGGGAGCGGTCCGGCGGGGCGTGGGCGCAGCGGGGGCCCGGGGCTGGAGGGGAGGGGACGGAGGGGGCAGGAGGGGGAGGGCCGGGAGGAGCCAGCAAGCTGGCGGCGGCGGCGGCCTTGAGCCACTGGCTGGGGCTGGTTGTGGCCGAGGCTGTGGCGAGAGGCGGGGCCGCTGGTGTGGCCAACGAGCCCGTAATGAAGCCCGGCGCCTGAGTCCCCTTTGTTCCCGGGGAACTACTTAAAAAGCCCCCTCCTCAGTCCCCGTGCGGGGCGAATGAGGACAATGGCCGGAGTCGCAGTGGGCAGAGCGGAACGCCCCCTTCAGAGAGGCCTTTCCAGCCGCGCGGCCCGGGGGACTGCAGGCGGGGCGCGCGCTGCCCTTCGAGGCCAAGAGGCCAACGGTGAAACAACAAAGATTTTTTTTTTCTTTCTTTTTTCTTTTTTTTTTAGAAAGAAATCTCGCCATTGCCGGGAATGGGTAAATCACTCAGGCCGCGTGGGTCCTTGGCAGATGGCAGAGGCGGCTTCCCAGTCCCCCACCTGGCACTAGAGGGACGGGGCGCGCACCCAACGGTGGCACGCATCGCCGAATTTTCCTGAATGCCGCTGTGGCACATTCCTGGCCTTTGCAGTTATTAGGAAATGAGAGGATCTTTTTTCCTTCTACTCTCCCCTCCCCCTGCCTTCGTTTTTCTTCCAGGCATGGAATTATCTACTTTAGCAGTTCAAAAGACATTCCATTCCCATGACAAAGACAGAAAGGGGTGATGTTGGCATACTGTAGCCCTCTTTCTCATAGGGAGACTTGAGCAATAAATCATAATGAATGAGAATTTAAAATAGCATTTATTTAACCTTTAATAGTACACCTTGCTGATTTTCAAAGCGTCACCAACAGCTTTGTTTTTCACATTCCCCAGCAAGGGTCCAACTCAAACTTTGAGCAGACAGTAGCGAATTTTATTCCTCTCATATATTCCTAAAAAAAAATGGGTTGAGGGGATTCGTGTTCCGCTCCCTCTCAGCTCTTAAATGTCTTAAGTCTATCACTGAACAAAGACTGACAGAAGATTTTAAAATAGAATGCAAAACTATCATCACAGCAAATATCTACTTACATCTTTTTTTTTTTTTTTTAGATGGAGTCTCGCTTTGTCGCCCAGGCTGGAGTGCAGTGATGCGGTCTCGGCTCACTGAAGCCTCCTCTTTCCGAAGCCTACGCCTCCCAGGTGCAAGCGATTCTCCTGCCTCAACCTCCCAAGTAGCTGGGATTACAGGCGTCCGCCACCACACCCGGCTACTTTTTTTTTTTTTTTTTTGAAACGGAGTCCCGCTCTGTCGACCAGGCTGAATGGAGTGCAGTGCCGCGCTCACTGCAAGCTCCGTCTCCCGGGTTCACGCCATTCTCCTGCCTCAGCCTCCCGAGTAGCTGGCACTACAGGCGCCCGCCACCACGCCTGGCTAATTTTTTTTTTTTTTTTGTATTTTTAGTAGAGACGAGGTTTCAGCATGTTAGCCAGGATGGTCTCGACCTCCTGACCTCGGGATCCGCCCGCCTTGGCCTCCCAAAGTGCTGGGATTACAGGCGTGAGCCACTGTGCCCGGCCCTTTTTTTTTTTTTTAAAGTAGAGACGAGGTTTTGGCATGTTGGCCAGGCCAGTCTCCAACTCCTGACCTCAGGTGATCTGCCCGCCTCAGCCTCCCAAAGTGCTGAGATTACAGGCCTGAGCCACTGTTCACGACCCCACGCCCAGCTCTACTTATATCTTCTATTTAGCACTCTTCTTTCTGGCTTGGAACCCACCTATCTCTTTTCCAGAGGCAATGATATACACAGGTATCCACCTTAGCTCACCCAAGACGGGCTCACACCAGTGAATGCCAGAGTATCTGGAAGTGGTTGATCAAAAACATTCTCAATAATGGGTAATCCAGCAGGAGACACCAACCTCGACAAAAATGAAAGGTCAGGGGGATTTTCCCCCAAAAGAACGGAATATTCTAAAAGTTTGAACACCTTTTAACAGTCTTGGGCTTTCATCCCTGTGTGTGTTGCAATTTACAGTTGTGCTTGAGGATGGGAGAATATCCTAGGTCATTGTTTTCAGTAAGGGTCATTTTTAGCTTCTCAGAATGTGACTCTGGTATGTTCCATTGCACAGGTATTTTTCACAGTTCCCTAGGCCTGACTGGTCTGAGAGTATTTAAGGCTGCCCCAGAGAGGAGCCCCTAGCCAGGCGATTCCCGGCTTGTGCAGGAATCGCAGTGGAAGGACAATGGGCCAATTACTAGCAAAGCCTGCGGTCTCCCTGGGAGAGGTTAAGGAGGAGAGCACATGGCCTTTAAGCTACCGTGTCATCTGTTCTGGGGCTTAATCAAGTTATCATATCACCCCAGTGTCTCCCGGCTTCTATCCATCGATTTGAATGAAGACAAAAATTTGCAGACAAATTTCTAGCAGCAGGAAGTTGGTGCTCTCCTGTGAGGCTGGATGAAAAGCACCTGTAACCTTGCCGGCCTCCATCTAGCTCCTGCTGGGAGCTGCTTCAGGCAGCAGCCTGCTGGATTCAGAGCCTGCCTGTCAGTGGAAGCTGGGCTCGGGGGAGGATGCTAGTATGTGTTTCAAGAGAATGGCCTGGAGCAGGCTCAGCTGTGGCTAGGACGGCACAATGTGGCCAGCTACTGGGGAATGGGTAGGTGGACACTGTCACCTTCCTTTTGATATTGACCTGGAGTCATATTTAAGTTAAGACAGAGCTGGCGTGCAACAATCCTCATGATGGTTTGAAGGGAAACTGTTTCTGTCTCTGGAGGGAGGGTAAGAGTCAAGGAGCTCTCCCACACTGCCATGAAGGCCAGACCTCTACTCCTCTCTGAGCTGGTTTCCTTCTCGGTGAAGCTCAAGCATGTAGTAATTTGCATCTAATCTGCAGGGTGGAAGAGAAAGGAAGTTTGATGTAGTAGATTGAGCATTGTTTGGGAGTCATAAGACATGTTCTAGACCTAGCTCTACAACTTGGGTAAGTGGCTTAGCCGCTTTTTTTCTTGGTTATTTCGCGTATAAGATGGGGATAATGATCCAGGCTGTTGCCTACTTCACAGGTTATGAACCAAGGAGATGAAAGATGCTGATCAGTCAATGAAAAAAATTTAAAAACCACATTACTAGTGCCTCTAAAGCCCTGCCAGCATCTATGCCCTGTGATTCAACATCACAAAGAGGGCTAGGAGAAGAAGAAAGTTATTAATTGGCATTACTATAAAAGCATTCCATCCTGAGAAGAGGTTCATCACTGAATGTGAATTTCATAGTCATTAGCAGAAAAAGCCAGAGGGTATGAGTTCAACACTCTGAGGTGGCTTGTTGATCTGATCAAAATCAACTTTTCTGGAGTCCACAGAAAATTAGACTTTTTGACATTCTGCTGAAAGAGTCATATCCCAAAAAGGCTGGATGGAGACCTGGTCAATAAATCACTTCTTCTCCCGCCCCTGACCTTCACACTGTTTATGTCCTTCAGCCACTATGACAGGGGACATCGACCTTGAACCTAGTTGGCAACTCTAGCCTGTTTCCTCATCTATCAAATGGGGTACATTTTCTCTGCCTCCCTAACTGGTGGGAGCATGGGTAGAGTCATCTGGTCAACAGGTGAGAAAGTGTTTTGTAAAGCAGAAGGTGCTGGATGTGTTCACACTTCACCACACACTCCTAAAGGATCATTATTGTCCATTTAACTGGAACCCAAATGAATACATTGGGGAAATTTTGCAGCCTTGTGGACTTGGCAGTTTGGATCCAATGTCATGGATGATGTGGCTCAAAAGAAGTTTCTTTATGCTGAGTAATCACCTGGCTGCTGGCTCTGAATGAATAGGTATAGGGTACCCTGTTGCTCTCCTGAGAGACTGGCCCAGTGGGCATAAGCAGGGCTTGGACGCTGATGCCCAAACACAGAGAACATCAGACAGCAAACAGCTAAACCAGGGACCAAATGCTCTGCGTTGCTTCTTTTCCCATTAGTTTGCTCCTAAGCACCTGCCCCATCAAAATACCCATGACTCCCCCAAATGTCACAGGGGGCACTGCTGGGATGTTCCCTCTGCCGTTTCCTCTGCCACATCTCTCCACCTTCTCTGCTTATTTAATTTATCTTATCCTGGCTGGGCACAGTGACTCATTCCTGCAATCCCAGCACTTTGAGAGGCCAAGGTGGAAGGATTGCTTGAGCCCAGGAGTTTGAGACCAGCCCGAGCAACACAGCAAGATCCCATCTCTACAAAAATTAAAAAACTTAGCCAGGTGTGGCAGTGCACCTGTAGTCCTAGCTACTAGGGAGGCTAAGGTGGGAGGATCACTTAAGCCAGGAGTTTGAGGCTGCAGTGAGCTATGATTGTGCCACTGCACTCCTGCCACAGCCTGGGTGACAGAGCGAAACCCTGTCTCTCAAAAGAAAAAAAAAGTCTCATCAAGGTTCTACTCATTGTCACCTCCTCTGTGAGGCCACAGTCTTCAAACTCCTAACACAGTCAGTACTGACTATCCCCCCAGCCGAGTGAAGCACTGTCTTGTGCTTTGCCGCGCTGCAGTCTGATTTGTATGAGCATTCACTGTGCACCCACCTCTATCCCTGTTTACGTTGTGAGCTTCTCAAGGGCAGAAACCAGGTATGATCCCTCTTGGTGTCCCAGCACCTAGCACAGCTGCTGGTGTCTAGTAATTTATGATTCAATGTTGGATTGCATTTTTGCCATTCCTTTGTGTGTCAGAGAGTGACCTGAGGGGATTGTGAGAGGGGAAGAAAAGATGAAATCTTTTATTTTTATTTATTTAAATCAATTCCATTTTTGCTTTTGCCTTGAGTCCCAGCCCATTAAAAAATCTGAAAAACTGCTCTGATGTAATTCATAGGATAACCACAGTTTGTCTACTCACCAATTGAGGGACATTTGGGTTGCTTCCAGATTTATTTATTTTTTGAGACAGAGTTTTGCTCTTGTTGCCCAGGTTGAAGTGCAATGGCATGATCTTGGCTCACTGCAACCTCCACCTCCAGGGTTCAAGCGATTCTCCTGCCTCAGCCTCCACAGTAGCTGGGATCACAGGTGCCCGCCACCATGCCCAGCTAATTTTTGTATTTTTAGTAGAGATGGGGTTTCACCATGTTGGCCAGGCTGGTCTCAATCTCCTGAGCTCAAGTGACCCACCCACCTCAGCCTCCCAAAGTGCTGGGATTACAGGTGTGAGCCACCATACCCGGCCTCCAGAGTTTGGCTATTATGAATATGTGGTTATGAATAATGTTGCTGTGAACATTCACATACAAGTCTATGTTTTCATTCTCTTGGGTAAGTACCTAGGAGTGGAATTTCTGGGCTATGTAATGGGTGTATGTTTAACTTTAAGAACACTGCCAAACACTTTTCCAAAGGGGCCATACCGTTTCACATTTCTACTGGCAGTGTTTGAGAGTGTAGTTTTTCTACATCTTCACTAACTCCTTGCGATGACAGTTTAAAAAAAAACCCATTCTAATGGGTATATTGGGTATTTCATTGTAGTTTTGATTTGTATTTCCTTGTTGCCTAGTCGTGTTCATATTGGCTGCCCATATATTTTCTGTGGGAAGTGTCTGTTCAAATATTCTGTCCATTTTTAAAATCTGTATTGTTTGCTTTCTTATTATTCTGCATACAAGCCTTTCACTATATATATATTTTACAGATATTTTCTCCTAGTCTCTGGCTTGTCTTTTCATTTTCTTAAATGTGTCCTTAAGTGAATAGAAGTTTTTAATTTTTATGAAATCTATTTTATTATATTTTTCTTTTATGATTACTGCTGTTTGTGTTAAGTTTAGATAATCTTTGTGTGTCATGTTTAGGTAATCTTTACCAACACAATATCACAAAGATTTTCTGCTGTTTTCTTCCAGAAATTCTTATTGTTTTAGCTCTTATGTTTAGGTCTATTATCTATTTTGATCATTTTGCATATGATGTGAAATAAGGTTTAAAACTTAATTCGTCCCCATAAAGATATCCAGTACCACTTTGTAAAAAGACTATACATTCCTCATTCAATTGTCTTGGCACTTTTGTAAAAAAAATTAATTGAGCATATAAATGCAAGTCTATTCCTGCACTCTCTACTCTGTTCTACTGATCTATAACCATGCCAATGCCATACAATTTTGATTATTGTGGTTTTATAGTAATCCTGAAATCAGGTAATGCAAGCACTTCAAACTTGCTTTTATTTTTTAAGTTATTTTGGCAATTTTTAACTCTTTGCTTTTTCATATTATTTTAGAATCAATTTATCAGTTTCTCCAAAATAGTCTGTTATGATTTTGATGAGGATTGTATTGAGTCTATAGGTCAGTTTTTAGAAAAAACTTTTAACAATATTGCATCTTCAAATCCATGAACATGGTATGCCTCTCCATTTATTTAGGTTTTCTTTAATTTCCCTTAATAATATTTTGTAGTTTTAAGGTTATAGGTCTGGAACATCTTTCTTTAAATTCATTTCTAAGTATTTTTAAGTACTATTTGTAAATGAAGTTTTTAAACCTTTATTTCCCAATTGTTCATTACTTGTATATAGAAATGCAACTGATTTTTAATTAAACTTTTTATTTTGAAATAATTATAAGTTCACAGGAAGTTACAAAGGTAGTACAAAGAGGATCCATGTGCTCTTCACTCAGTTTCCCCCCGTGGTTACATTTTAGATGGTTATAGTATAATATTAAAACTATGAATTTGACACTGGTACAATGTGTGTGTATAGTTCTATGTCATCTTATCATATGTGTATATTTGTAAGCACCTCACAGTCAATATGCAGAATTATTTCATCACCATAAAAATCTTTCTTGTGCTGCCTCTTTATAGTCACGCCTATCCCCGTCTCTCCAACCATCCCTAACCTCTGGCAACCACTAACCTGTTTTCCAACACTATAATTTTGTCATTTCAAGAGTGTTATATAAGTGGAATCATACAGTATGTCACCTTTTGAACTTGGCTTTTTTTTTTCTCATTTAACATAATGACTTTGAGATCAGTTCAAACTATTGCATGTATCAATAATTCATTCCTTTTCATTGCCGAGCAGTTTTCTGTAGTATACATGTTCCACCGTTTATTTCACCATTCACCTGTTGGAGAACATTTTGGTTGTTTCCTGTTGGGGATAATAAAAATGAAGTGGCTTAGCACAATTACGTATAGGTTTTAATGTTGACATACATTTTCATTTCTCTGGGATAAATACCTAGAAGTGCAATTGCTGTGAGGTATGGTAATTTTAAAAGAAACTTTCAAGCTGTTTTCCAGAGTGACTGAATCATTTTACATTACCAACAGCAATGTATAAGAAATCCAGTTTCCCCACATCCTGGCCATGATTTGGTATTGTGGCTATTTTGAAATTTTACTTGATCTAATAGATATGTGGTGATATCTAATTGCGGTCTTTATTTGCATTTCTTTATTGGTTAGTGATGTTTAACATCTTTTCATCTGCTTATTTTTTATTTTTATATACTCTTCATTAAAATTTTTCTTCATATATCTTTTACCACTTGTCTACTTAAATTATTTGATTTTTTTACTCTTCAGTTTTAAGAATTCTTTATATATTCTAGATATGATATGAGTCCTTTTTCAGATATGCTGTTTGCAAATATTTTCTCCCAGTGTATAACTTGTCTTTTCTTCCTCTTAAGAGGGGCTTTTATAGAGCAAAAGTTTGTAGTGTTGATAAAGTCCAATTTATCACTTAAAAGTTTTTTTCTGTCTTTTTTTTTTTTTTGCTTTTGGTCTATGAACTCTTCACTAAACCACAGGTCCTGAAGATTTGTCCTTATGTTATCTTCTGAAAGTTTTATAGTTTTATGTTTTACATTTAAATCTATGGTCCATTTTTAATTAATTTTTGTAACAGGTATGATTTTGGGGTTGAGGTTCCTTTCTTTTTCTTTCTTCTTATTTGCCCAAGAATATCTATTTGCTCCAGTACTGTTTCTTAAAAAGGCTATCCCTTCTCCATTGAATTGCTTTTGCACCTTTGTCAAAAATGAGTTGGCCCTACTTGTGTGGGGCTCATACCTAGAATATCTAGGACCCATTTCTGGGTTCTCTATTCTGTTTCATTGATCTTTGTATCTATTCCTCATGCTGACTTGGTTACTGATGCTATCTAATCAGTCTTAAAATCAGGTAATATGACTTTTCCCAAATTATTTTCCCCAAACTGTTTTACTTATTCAACTCCCTTTGCTTTTTCATATACATTTAGAATAAGCTTGTTGTCTACATCTACAGAAATCTTGCTGAGATTTTGATTGGAATTGTGTTGCACCTGTATATCAGTTTGGGGAAATTTGACATCATTACTATTTTGACTCTTCCTATCCATGACTATCATATGTCAACCATTTACTTAGATTTTTCTTTGATTTCTTTCATTAGCATTTTGATGTTTTCAACACATAAGTGCTGGACATCTTTAGTTATATTTACACCTAAATATTTCATTTTCTTGATTATATGTTATATTAACACCTGAATATTTCATTTTCTTGATTATACATTATATTTTATATTTGTTGTCCATGTATTCATTGCTAGTATATTAAAATAGATGTGATTTGCCTATGTTTGTTGATACGGTTTGGATCTATTTCCCTGCCCAAGTCTCATGTTGAAATGTAATCCCCAGTGCTGCAGGTGGGGCCTGGTAGGAGGTGTTTGGATCATGGGGCTGGCTTCTCATTAATGGTTTGGCACCATCCCCGTTGGTGTTGCCATCGTGATAGTGAGTTGTGAGACCTGGTTGTTTAAAAGGAATGTTATATTTCTTAATAAATCAAAGAATGGAGTGATTTCATGATTAGAAAGGACATGTTGGGCCTGACACAGAGTAAGCCCTAAATGAATGCTCAGGGATGATGAATCTTCTCCCCAGTATCCCACTTTGCTAGATTACCCTTAGTGATAGATTGTTCACTCTCTCTTAAATTCTGGGCATTTGAAATATTTTCCTCTCATGTGCTCAAAACACTTTCATTTCAGCTTCCACTCTGCAGTCCCAGTGTCTGTCCCTAGGGCTACACAGAATGAGCCCGATTCCCCTTCCCTACGAATATCCCTGAACTCTCAAATAGGGGAAGCAGCCTCAGCTTCCCCAGCCAGTGTTTGTAAGAGTGAGATTTCTAGTCCTCTCATGATCCTAGTCTCTTTCCCTTGAGCAGAATTCTGTACCTGCACAGTTCTCTCCAGATGTGATGTCCAGAAAGGTCTCAGCACCCTGGGTGGAGCCTGGGGGACCCCCTTCTTTCCGGTAGGCAGCTTAAGCTCCCATTGGCTCTTCCGGCAGCCAGGTTGCAAAGGCTTATATTAAGCTGGTGGCTGGTGAGCACCCCTGGGCCCTTTTTATCTTTCCCTACATAAATCTGCACACCAGCTTTCTGCAGGTGGCTTCCCATAGCTGCCTTCTAAGGGGAGCTACATCAAACCTCAAGGAATTTACCACCATGAAAGCCTGTCTTGCCCCGAGACCTTCCTCACCTGCAAAGCATAAGCTTGGGCAGGGCTTGGAACCACATGCCCTAAGGCCCTTAAATCTGCCTGTATCTCTGCTCTATAATTTTCAGAAAAATTAACTGCATTATGGGATGGCTTATATTCAAGTCAGGGTCCATACAGCCAGCAGAGGGCAAAAATGGTGAATGCCGTATGGAATCTTATGGCTTGCAAAACAGTTTCTATATCACCTCCTTGGATCCACAGAATAACTAGTAAACTGTGTGAGGCAGGTAGGGAGGGTGGATCATTTCTATTTGACAGGTAAGGAAAGAGAGGTTGCAGGGAGGCTGCAGGCTGCTACGACTAAAAACAAAGAAGAGTCAAAAGTGACAGAACACCACACTCTGTTTATCACAAAACACTGCTTAGCATCTCAGGGCTCTAGGCTTCTATTTGAATTGTCTCAACCATCCTCTGGGTAGAAAGTTTTTTTCTCAGGGCATTTTTGGATCCAGATGATCTGAGCTAATCCCCCTGTCCCCTCACCCCCAGCCCCAAGGAGTGGGCTAGGAGTACAGCTGTGCATTTTAACGAGGGAGACGGGAGTCTCCAGGCTGCTTTCCAAGAAATTGCTTCTAAAATCATTTGCCTCCAGCCCCAGACAAAAGCTCAGGTATGGAAGCTTGGCTGCTCCTGACCTTTTACATCCCCAGAACCAAGCTGCAGGGAGGAGGGGACGGCCGCACAAAAGGGTCTGGGGAGTGACCCGGCCTGCCTCAGCTACCTGCTGTTTGCCACAATGGGACCCGAGTCCCGGGCTGCCTCTGGAGGCAGGAGAAAAGGGCCGAGATAATGACGGGCTCAGCTACCGCTGCTCTCTTCAGAGAAAGGAGAAGAGGGAGGAGGCAAAACCTCCCGGATAATAAAGAAGTAACAAATGAGGAATAAAAGCTTATGGAAGACATCTTAACCCAGGGATGAAAAAATGTCAACATCTGTGAGGCTTTCTGCACCAGCAGACCCGGTCCTAATGAAAACCCTCGAAAAGCCATTCATCGGAGCAGAGGCAAAAAGGCTACATTTTTCTATGGGGCATCGAGGGCTCGAGGAGGCCACCGTTTCCCTTTCGGATGCTGCTGAACCAAGCACTAATGTTCATCTCCAGCTTTATTAAGGAACCCGGGCAGGAGGAGAATGGAGTGCCGGGACCATCGTTATCCCAAAGTCTGTGAGGTGGGTGGATTTAGGAGCAAGCTAGATGTGTGCACATTGAGGCAAGGAAGAAAAGCCAGAGGAATCAGAGAAAACACTGTTGAACAAGGGTCTCTTTTGACGGGGGCCTTTAGGAAGGACGCAGCTCCAGGAAAAGTAATCCTCTTAGCACCGACTTATGTGTGTGTACAAAACAGGGAAATCAAATCTGAATGTCCTCATTGCATTTGCTAAAATACCTAATGAAAACACAAAGATTCCTTTTTCTGATCTTCACCTTTCATTCAGAAGCCGGAGAGTGGCAGATGTTTGCTTATAAGGCTGTTTTTTTAAAAAATTCAAACTGGGAGTTTGGGGTGGGAGAGGAGCTGACCCTACTCTCTTTCCAAGGGGTGTGGGTTGCAGAACTTTGAGCCTTTGTATCTCCCCCTGGGGTTTTTTACACCCTCCTGCCTTGTTGCCTTTGAGGCAGTACATGTGGTTTTATTTCTTGAGTTTGTGCTCTGTGTTCACCGTTGGAATGTCTCTCCGGAGGCCTCAGTGAAAGAAATCTCAAATCCTGGCCAACAAATGCAGCTTCCTGAAAAGAGTGGGGAAGTTGGTATAAAAAGAAATGCACTCCCAAATTAGTGGCTGTTCTGCAGTTGGGGATCACTGTGCCCTGGCCAGGGAGCACCAGGATAGCCCTCACCCATACCCACATACTTACACACACCCAACATACACCCACACACCTACACCCAGGCATACACTCCCCCAACTTATCCACACACGCGCATCACACACTCCCCCAACTTATCCACACACGCGCATCACACATCTACGCCCAGGCATACACTCCCCCTACTTATCCACACACGCACATAACAGTCCACACCACTCACCCTCCTGTATACACACACACACACACACACGTGTCCTTCCAGTTATAGATACACCTCTCCGGCCAATATACTCGACAGCACACGCATCTGCTTACTCCCAGTCTGAATGGTCGTACTTAGTCTTATGGGCAGGCATCCTCCTTCCCCATCCCTGTAACATACCGGGCTTTCGATCGCATGTGTCAGTTATAACTTGGCTTTAAAATGAAACAAGATGCAAGTGAGGCTGAGTCAAACGTTTGGGGGATTGCCAAGCAGATTTCACCTAAGCTAAAATAGGAGGGTGCACTTTTATTTTTCCTTTCCTGTGTTACAGGGCTACTTTAAATTCAAAACTATTGTTTGCTATTGGGTTACAAAAGGAAGAGAAGTGGAGGAGGCAGCCGTAGAAAGGCTGATTATGGCTCTGGGTCCAGTGTGAGCTGCCCATCTGTGGGCTGGCCCTGTGGTCCTAGGCTGCCAGGGCAGGTAGTGAGATCCCAGGTCCTCAAAGCAGTGGCCCAAGCATCCTCTATCATCATCAGTTGGAGGGAATTCCTATGCAAGGTGTGCAGTGGAGCTGAATGAGCTCTGATATCTTTTGCAAACTTAACAATAATAATATTGAGTGCTAATTATGTGCTAGTCACTACTCTAAGGGTCTTAAATGGATTCTCTAATTTTCCCAGCTCTATGATATGAAATCTCTCATTATGCACATTTTGTAGGTAAGGAAACAAGCCTAGAGTGGCTGGGACATAGGTAGTAGTGACAGAGCCCGTACTGAAACCCAGATGTACCCAACACCAAGCTTAGGTGATTTACCTCGCACTGCAAGACCTCTTAGGAGAACCTGATGTTAAGTGATTTTCTGTTCCCTTCTTTCCTTGGTCAGTAGGAGAGGATTGGGCTTACACCCTTCCTGGTTCATCCCCTAATGCCCTGGCATTGGTCCTCCCTATTCCTTTGGAATAAAGACGGAGCCTGGGAACATCTCTGGTTGGCTTGTCCCTGGGAAGGGTTCCATGTCCAGCCGCCAGACCCCAGATCCACTGAGCGGGTGGAACCTTGTTCCTTGCTGCAGCAGGAGGCACTCAAGTCAGAGGCCCCAGCCATGTGCTTATAGAACCCTTTCGGCAGTCACTCTAAGGCTTGGGGATCATTGGGGAGAATGGCAGCCCTCCAGATGTGTGCATCCATCTGAGAAGCACACCTCCTCAATCTCCATCCCTCATCTCCAGGCCCCCTCTACTGAGAGGAGAACACAGCCCACCTAGACGAAGTGCAGCAGACACCTCTGGTCCTTTTCTCTTCACCATGCCTAATGTACCAGGGATCGGGGCGTCATAACCACAGACCTGGAACCTTGAGAGTCACTGGATCAAACTCCTTGTGGTGGCTCTGAAGATGTGTCTACAAATTCATTGACACTACACCCCTCAAGAGGCGGAGCTTAATTATCCTCTTCTTGAGTGTGGACTGGAGTTGGTGACTAGTCCACTAGAGACTAGAATATGGCAGAAATGATGGATGTCACTTGGAAATAGTCACTTGGATAATTCCGAAATTAGATTATGGAAAGGCAGTAGCTTCTGTCTTGGGTTCTCCATCTGTCTCTGTCTCTGTCTCTGTCTCTGTCTCTGTCTCTGTCTCTTTCATCACTTGCTCTGGGGAAAGCCAGTTTCCATGTCATGAGGCAACCTAGGGGGAGGCCTCTGTCATAAGAAACTGAGGCCTGCCAACAACCACATGCAGGAGCTTGGAAATGGATCTTCTGAGTCTGCCAACAGCCATGCGTGTGATCCTGGAAGCTGATCTTCCCCCACTGTAACCTCGGGCTGACTGTGGCCCCAGAGCACATCTTGACTGCAGCCTCATAAGAGATCTTGTGCCAGAACCACCCAACTCAGCCACTCCCAGATTCCTAACCCCAAGAAACTGTGAGATGGTAGATGTTTGTCGCTTTAAGCTGCCGCATTTGGGGGCCATCGTGATGCAGCAACAGATCACTCATGCCCTCCTGTACTATGCAGTTGGGAGAAGCGAGGGCCTGCTGGGGAAAGTCACTTCCCAATTTCACAAAGGACAAGTGAGTGCTTGAAATTAACTCAAATATTTTGACTTCTTGTCTAGTGCTCTTTCCACTACATCAGACTTCCTCTCACTCCCATTTCCCACAAATAAACCAGAAGAATTGAATTTGGCAAACCTCTGCCTGCTTGTGAGCGCAGATTTTTCTGGTATGAGCGGGATGGACATAGCAGGGGACGCAGTGATGACAGAGAATTGGTGGGGACAGAGGGCCATTTAAGGGGCTGTTTGAGAGTATAACAACCTCCACATCTGCCCTTCTCCCCAGGGCTCGCTTTTTGGCTGATATGGGAAGTTCAACCCACGCGTATGAATTCTGAATTTAATACAGAACTTACCACCCAGAAATGACTGGGTGAAGTAAGTGTAATTTGCCCGTGTTTATTTTTTTTATTATGAACTTAGGCAAAGTTTATGGAAAAAAGGAACCCGATGATCACGAAATGTAGCTATTTACATCTCTCCAAGCTCTCTTTGTGAGTGTTCTTTGCACAGCTGTAATGGCCTGTGCAGACTCCGTAGTGTTTGCCTTCCTCCCTCAGCAAGTGTTCTGTTGTGCCCCAGGCAGGCCCTGTGCGGCTGGGAGCTCAGAGCCCACTGTGTCTGGCTCTCCCAGACCACCCTCCTGTTCACTCCATCCTGTGCTGCTGTCCATTCCTGCTTCTCTGATCCCTTGGCTCTGCCCCAGCTCCTCTCCCACCCAAGCCTTCTCGCCTGGCTCACTCGTTGGAGCACAGCTGCATGCTCAGGCGTAGCATCTTGACACTCCCTCAGCTCCATGTTGGGCTTGTCCCCGGATCCTCATGCTGCAGAGGCAGTAGGCACACACTCCTGTGCTCCTCTGAGCCCTGGAGGCTGCACAGCCTCGTTGTTGATGCGGGGCCCGAGATGTCACTGCTTGTGACAATTTAACTTCCCTGGTGACTCAGGCCACCCTGGTTCTTAGCGTATCTTCCTCTGGTCTCTCCCACCCTGCCTGAATCACAGAAGCAGAGGGCTTGTTAGAATGCGGGTGCCGGGCCCTTACCCAGTCCTTCTGAATCTGGAGAAGGGGCTGGGAATCTGCATTTTTACAACCTCCCCGGGTAATGCTGGTACCCACTACAATGGGAGAATGACGGCTCTGCTGTTGCCCCTTGTTTACGACTTGGAGCTTTGAAAAACGTCTTGATTGGCCTGGTGTTTTAGAAAATCTTGGAGAGACTGTCAAGAGCAACCTCGATTCTCTGAGCCTAAGCCCTCAGAAGGACTGACCTTGCCTTCACCTCCATTTTCTCCTGGCCACCTGCCTCCTTCTCTTCCCATGACCTCTTTTCACCTACGGCAACAGCAGGTCAGAAAAAGCCAGGACGTCATTCTCATTGGTCTGCTCAGCTTCCCTGGAAGCCCAGGGAATGGTTTCTGAGGGAGGCACTGGCAATTATTGGCCAAAATGAGGGCTAAGAATTTCCAATTGGCCTCTAAGAGTTGGTTTTATGTGTACTGTGCATGTAGGATGGATCACACGGGTGTTGGGGGGTGGTCCATACCATGGGTGGGCTTTGGAGGAGGCGCCTGGTGGGTGGGCCTCGCAGAGTCCTCTCTTGCATCTGCCCACCCTATCGTGGGGGCCAGTTCCCCAGGGCTTCCAAGTCAGTGTTTCCTCCCAAATAGAGGAAACCCTTCCTGACTCACCCGGGGTTTCCAAACTATCCCTCACTCCTCGGTCGTCGGGGGCAGGACCCCATCCTGGACCTCAGAGTGGTCCATAGGGTGGTTCCATAGGATGAAGAGTTCCGGATAGATGGCCCGGGAAGTCCTTTCCAGTCTGAGGCTTTGTGTTATTTGCTGCAGATGGAGGTCCCTCAGTGCCACCAAGATCCCCCCCTGGACATGACCTCCTCTCCTCCCAGGGTGGCTGGACCTACAGTGTTGTGGCATGACCCAATCCCCTTGTGAGCGGAGGCCAAAACACGGCTCCAGTCCCAGAGTCCTGGGAAAACCAACAAGGTTGAAGCATCAGTCAATCCAACATAGAGAGGCAGGTTGGAGGGGCTTAGAGTGCCACGGGCTGCAGGCATGTCTGCTGACCTCTGTGCGCGCTCACGCTCCCACTCCCAGTGCCCTCCGAGCGAGGTGGTAACAGCCAAGCTGCAGCTAGCTCCTGGCTTTGTAGCTTTGCTTTGAGGCCTGGGATGCCTACATTCTCCCCAAAGCAGTTCCCCTAACTGCCTGCCCCCTGAGCAACAGCCCCAACCCTTAGAGAATCCAGGGGTGCATGCACAGTGGAAGATGTAATAGGAGTCTAAGCAAAGCCACAGAGAGACACAGGCTGCAGCCCCCAACCCTGACAGCTGTTCTTCCCTGCATGACGGGCAGACACAGCCTCAGCCTGGAAATGCCCTTCTGGGTGTCATCTGGTGACTTCTACCACTCAAATTTTGGGTCTTAAGGGATGTTAGTCAAGAGAGCAATTGTTGTTCACAGCCCAGGATGACCTGTCCTTGATGCACCTTGTCATGGGCCCATGTCCTCTCCTGCCAGTCACCGAGATTCCTTGGCTCCCTTGGCAAACCCTAACCTGTCAGTCCTCCACACAGGCACCCCAGGGAGGAGGCTGCCTTGGGCAGAGGAACTGAGACCCTCATCTCCTTCACATCTGCCCTCGGGCCCCATGAGTGAGACAGGCTGAAGCCTCCTCAGATTCTGGGGCCTTTGGTTCAGGGGCAGGAGCTATTCCATTCATTTGATACCTACTTCCATAGCTGGGGACTGAGCCCATAAATCCTGACCCAGACACATGACAGCAATGGCCAGTGGAACAGGGTGGATGCAAAAAGTTGCCGTGAATGGGAGAGAGGAGCCAGGGTATGGAGTGGACAGCAAAGGCTGACCTTTTCCCCTCAAAAGAAAGATGATCCAAAGGTGTTACCCTCACAAACGTGGTTAGGGCTGCAATAGAAAAGAAGCTTCTAGTCCTTCTGGTCCCTGACCCTGGGCAGGTCAAGCAATATCTCTAGGCCTCAGTTTCCCTATTGGTAAAATGTCCGGATATACTGATTGATTGACAGTAAGGGTTGTCCCACCATTTGTGTTCTATGTTTTATATCTCTTCTGTAAATTTCTAGTTTCCCAAAGGGTATGTTTGGGGGAAGAGTAGCTGAGAAGATAGAGAGTGCAGTCCTTGAAGGCAGGCGTGAGGGGAGCGTGCACAGGAAGGTATTTCCCAGGATTAGAGAATTATTTTCTCCATTCTGAAGATGGGGAAATAGCTTCAGAGAAGCTGAGTGAGCCCAGGGCTGCAGTGTGGCTGAGCTGGGTTTTGGAATGCACTTTCTGTTGCTCTTTCTGTAGAACTGTCCCTGCCTTTCTCCTTCCAACTCCATTTGTCAGAGTCCCTCCACCCTCTAAGTCCCTCTCAGTGACATCTCCATGTGGCCTTCCCTGGTCCCCCAAGCAGAATCGATTGCTCCCCACCATGCCCAATGGCACCTTGTCTCCCCTGCTCTTGCCCCCTTGACTTCTCCTTGTACCAGAGACAGTCCACCTGTCCCAGTGGCCTGGGAGCCCCTCGAAGGCTGGGACTTCCACTTCTGAAGTCTTTCTCTCCTGGCCCTGCCACAAGGAATGGCACAGAGTAGGTACTCTGGGAACAAGCATGAAATTGAGGTTACCCAGAGGGTCCTTCTGCTTCAACATGTGGGTTCCTCACATCTGTCACCTCCCTTTTGGCCTTAGAGGTGTGACTGTCTGTGTAACACCCAGCCCAGCCCCTAGAACAGTCCTGTATGTTGAAGCCCATGCCCCAGTGTAGACGGGCGGCTGGGAGGGAACTCCTTCTGTTAATTATGCCCCTCTCTATGAGGGGCTTCTAGACTAGGCAGGAGAGTGGGGATCGTGGATCCCCTGCCCCTTCCTAGAGAGAGGAGGTTGGTGAGTCCCCGCATCTAGCCCTCTGAGCTGTCATGGCTGTGACCTCCCCATCTTTCCATGACCCATTTTCACCGACAGCAATGGGAGGTCAGAAGAAGCGCATATGTCATTCTCAAGGTCCATCCACCTTTTGTTAGGAGCCCGGTGAGGACAAGAACGAAGTGTGGCTTATGTTCGCTCTGACTTCCAGCTCTGTGTGCGGGGCATGGAAAGGAATCAAAGAAGGGTTTTTGGAGCTGAATAGAATGTTTTATTACTATTTGGCCCAGGATTGTTAGACTTAAAGGATGGCCAAACATCAGAAGGACCCTCGAGCTCAAGCGATGAGCCCAGCCCCGTGTTGGGCATGAGTCTATCTGAGGGTCCAGGACGAGATTTGCTCAAGGCCACGTGGAGCTGTCTGCCTACGTTCACTCTGTGGTCTGTGCCTTCTCCCTCCACAGGGGAGACTGTGCACGGTGGGCCAGGTGGTTTCAGGGAGTGGCAACCCAGGGGCAGTGGAAATAGCGTAGGCTTTGGAGTCAAAAAGACCTGAGTTTGAATATGGCTCCACATATCCCTGTGTGTTGCCTTGGCAATGACTTCGTCTTTCTGAGTTTCACTTATTTTATAAAAGGGGAATAATGTCCACTGTGAAGTTTGCTGTCATGTTTAAAAGGAGGTAATGTTTGGCCAGGCGTGGTGGCTCACGCCTATAATCCCAGCACTTTGTGATCACCAGGTCACAAGTTCGAGACCAGCCCGACCAACATGGCAAAACCCCTCCCCTACTAAAAATATAAAAATTAGCTGGGCGTGGTAGTGCACACCTGTATTCCCAGCTATTCTGGAGGCTGAGGCAGGAGAGTCGCTTGAACCTGGGAGACAGAGGTGGCAGTGAGCAGAGATCGTGCCACTGCACTTCAGCCTGGGTGACAGAATCAGACTCTGTCTTAAAAAAAAAAAAAAAAGAAAAGGAGGTAATGTTTGCAGACTGCCTGAATGCACAGTAGCTACTCAAGAAGTAGTGTAGCCCCAGGCATTCCGCTTCCCTGTTGGCGGGGACAAGGGGATCCATTTTTGTCCCTGTGGGGCCTAAGAAGGAGTTCATTCCCTAGTGTTCCTCAACTCTAGTTACATCCATGTGCCACCGATTTCCCCTTCTCTGAGGTTGCCCAGGGGATAAAGGGGGATTGGCTGTGGGAGGATGGCCTTTCTTCCCTGCTGTGCTGCTGGGGCCAAGAGGGGCCATATAGAAACTTGCTCAAGGTCTTCTTTGGCAGAATCTAGGTCCCTGGGTCCTCATCCTGCCAGCGGTGTGACCTGGGAAGCTTCTTCTCCTCTCTGAGCCTCAGAGTCCCCCTGAGATTTCACAGGATAACGATCTGCCTTGTCTGCAGCTTGGGGCTGTTGCAAAGACCCAGGAAAGCATTTTACACACAGCAGAGTCCTGTGCAAACGCCGGGAGTCATCACAATTTTCTTGTAAGCACCATTATTTTCTTAAAGAAACTTCAAGAAGTAAAAGAGCCTTATACTATATCTTGCAAAACAAATTTTTTAGCAGCAGAAAAAAAAATGGAGGAGAGGTTAAAAAGAAAAAAAAAGATTTGAGCCAACAGCTTCGGCTCCCTTGTCAGCCAACTAGAGGAAAGAAGTGAGTAACAGAGGTTTGTTTCCAAGGGAGCCTGTCTGAGCCAAGAAGAGCTGTTGCCAACCCAGCCGGGGCCTGAGGTCAAGGCCTCATGGGGGGCCGGCTGCCTGTTCACCCTTCCAGACCTCATTTCTCCTACTGCATGTTAGACCAGGGTGCTGGAGTCAGGGTGCCAGAGGGCCTCGGGGCCTGGCTTCTCCAGGCTGGATCTGCTTCTCTTCCTCCTCCACGGAAGAGTCTCGAGGGAGGGTAGGAAGGAGAAAATCCAAACCCCTTGCTGGGTGTATGTTTCTGAGGCTTAACCAGAATCTGTCCCGTGACTGCCCAGCTGTAAATCAGGGCCAGAGGGATGGTGGTGGGGACAGGGAGGAGACTGGGGAGTGTCTGGGGAAGGGCTGGGAGCCTTTGGGGAGGACCTGGGAGGTTAGGATGACGGCAGGAGAGGCCCCTTCTCTTGCTTTCTCTGCCTGCCTCCGAGCTGGCTCACCGACCGGGTGACTTCTGTCCCCTTTCCTTGTTTCTTGCCTTTCACAGCTGCCTCCCAGCTCAGGTTCCACAGCTGTCCCTGAAACACAGGCACAGCCCTTGGCACAGCCTCCCTTCCCCTCTTCCCCTCCTTGCCCTCCCCAGTGGGCCATCCAGGCCTGGGCTGGCTCTCGGGAGGCCCGCGCTCCCCGGGCTGCCTGTGGGTGATGCAGGGAGCACTGCTCTGCCTGGCTTGGGCTTCTGTGCCTTCCTCATGTTGCAGGGTGGGTGGGGACTGTGGCAGTGGGCATGCTGCCGAGTTGGGAAGTCCTGAAAACTTCCCAAAGCCCAGTTAGAAAGGAACGAGGGGGCGGACTTGGCCAGAACCCTTGCCGGGCAGCCGCCATCAGCAGCCACTGAAACCTTACCTGGCCCAGCCTGCGGCGCTGACTGATGAATGGGAGGCCAGCCAGGAAGGGGCTTCCTCCTGCCAGATGCTCCATGAGCACCGGCCAGGGGCTTTGACTGACGTGTCATTCCTTTTCACCAAGTGTTAAAAGATGAAGGAAGCTGGTGGAAAGACCTGGCTCCAAGACAGGAGGGCAGATGGCAGGCTGGGCACGTGTTTCTTCCCTGGCCTGGTGTGGTCACACCGTTCACCTATGCCTGGAGAGAAAAGGTCAGAGTCAGCCCTAGAGTCAGCCCTTCCAACCCCCTTATTTTACAGACTGGGAAACTGAGGCCTGGCAAGGGGAAGGGACTCACCCAGTGACTTCATGGCTCTCAGCCCTGTGCCATTTCTCTCACCCTCTGCTGTCTGTCACTGAACCAAGAACCAAGCAAGCCCAGACTGCCCAATGGATCAATGGATCAAAGGTTTGAAAATTAGCTGATTGGAGCCAGGGGCTGCATTTCTCAAAGAAAAAAGATATTTCATGATCATGCCAAAGGACCCTGGGGCCTGGCTTCTCCACTTCCCCGTTCCCAAGGGTCTCCTCCTTTCCCTCCCCTCCCTCCCTTTTTTTTTCTTTTCTTTTCTCTTCTCTTCTTTTCTTTTTGAGACAGAGTCTCACTCTGTCACCCAGGCTGGAGTGCAATGGCAGGATCTCGGCTCACTGCAACCTCTGCCTCCCAGGTTCAAGGAATTCTCCTGCCTCAGACTCCAGAGTAGCTGGGATCACAGGCACCCAACACCACACCCAGCTATTTTTTTTTTTTTGTATTTTTAGTAGAGATGGGGTTTCACCATGTTGGCCAGGCTGGTCTCTATCTCCCGACCTCAAGTGGTCTGCCCACCTCAGCCTCTCAAAGTGCTGGGATTACAGGCGTGAGCCACCACGCCCAGCCAGACCATTCCTTTCTAAGGCACGAGTCAGGATGGGCATTTATTGGAAAGGATTTTCTTATTCCAGTTAATTTCCAGATGCTGAAATTTCAGGTAAAATAATAAGGGGCAAGTTCTGGGCTATGAGTGAGTGAATGAGTGTGTGTGTGTGGGGTCACACGTGTGTGTGCTCAGACTCATTCAGGGTGGGAATCTTTTGGGTCACAAAGGGGCCTCATGGGCCTCTGCTTTCAGGATGAGCTGGTTGTTCCGGCTTCTCAGCCTCCTCCTCTCCCTGTAGCCGAGTGAACGTATTCTCCAGGACCTCTGTTTTCCTGGCAGCATCTCCAGTGGGGAGCGGAAAGAGGAGGGGAGTCGGGAAGACCTGGGGAGGGGTCTGAGAGGGCATTTGAAACAGGGGCTTCATGTGGTGGAAGGGGGAAGCGGAAAGACCATGGTGTTACTATTATTGTAGTTGCCAATGACACCCCACCCCCACCCTACCCCCACCCCACCCCCACCCCCACACTACCCCCACGCTATCCCCACCCCACCCCTGCCACTCTGCTGTGGCCCTTGTCATTTATCACTTATTCTGCAACAGCCTCTAGACTGGGGTCCGCACCGACAGCCTTCCCCCTTCAGCCCCAGGGTCCCTGGACTCCCCTTGCTGGCGTGATCTTGGGCCTAACAGATATTTTAGCCTTGTCTTTCACCGCCCCCTTGGCTTTTTGTTGCGATTGAACACTAACCATTCTGCAAACCTTCTCCTGGCCTCCTGGCCTCGGTGTTTCCCTTGCCAGCCTCTGCAGCCTTGGCTTGGCTCATGCTGTCCACTTCCTCCCTCCTCTCCAGCCACACAAATCTCCTTTCAGTCCTTGGACCAAGCAAGCTCATTCCCACCTCTGCCCCGCACAGTGGAAGATGTAATAGGAGTCTGGCGTTTCTCTGCCTGATGCCCCTTCCCACTAATGACCAACCCCCCTCGTCCTGCCTAGCTCCCACCTCTCCGTGCAGCTGAACTTCCCGTCTGCTCCCTTAGCTCCCTGCCACTCTCTCCTTTCATCTGCATGTCTCCCTTCACAGAATGTAAAACTGAAGTTTGAAATTGTCAGTAATTTCTCCTTCTTCACATGACAATGAACTCCTTGAGGGCAAGGCGAATCCTCATTCACTGTAGGCCTACCAGTATTTGGCCTTTAGCAAGCACTTAATAAAACATCTCTTGAGTAAAAATGATCTCTTTCTTACTGGCCTGAGAGTCCCTAAGAGGCAAGACCCACCTCTGCATCACCAGGCTATCCCCCACAGTACCCATCTCATAGGCTGTCCATAAATGCTTAGTAAATTGAATTTCAGTGATGCCACAGCTGGGGAGAGTCATCAACAGTGTCTTCTATTGCTAAACACCTCCCTGCTTGCAAAAAACTTCCAGGCTGTCTTGGGTAGCAACCATTCTTGGTTTTCAAAGGTGAAAAGCAATTTGCCACAAGCAGAGAATGACAAATACTCAGGATGGAAGAAGAAGGGAGGGAAGCAATTATGGGAGGCGGGAGGGAGGGGAGAGCAGGCTGTGAACCCTCTCTCTTGAGTGAGAAGGAAAACAAAGAAAGGTTCTTCTCAGAAAATCCCATTGGCTCTTTAAGGGACCAGGAAACCACTTTTGTCCTCTTTTCCCTGTGAAGTCTCAGGATCTGTGAGCACAAAGCCTGGAGGTGCCGGCAGGGACCTTGTGAGTCACCAGAGGGAGAACCTCGCATGGTTCAAAATGTAAGGTTTAAAAATATCTCCACCAATATTCATAATCCCCATGCACTCTGGGCCGCTGGCAATTCAACATGAAATTCTCTTTTGGTCATTCAACTATATTCTATTTGTTGAGCTCCTATTGGTGCCTGCTTTCCTGGTACTTAAATTTTCAGGTAAGGAGACAGATGAAACACACACAGAAACAAACAAGAAGACATCAGAGAGTGCTCTAAAGAAAATTAGCTTGAGGCAGTGATGCAGAGAGAGCTCAGTCAGGAAAGGCCTCCTGGAGGAGGCAACATCTGAGCGGAGGTGGAGATGCTCCGAGGAGCTGGCTGCAGAGACATGAAGAGCATCCCAGGCAGAGGGCACAGCACTGGCTCCAAGGTCTGAAGAGGGAGGAGAGAGAGAACCACGTCAGGTGGGTCCCAGAAGCAGCAGGTATCAGATTGGGCTTACCTCCTCCAACCTGTCATTCAGGTGGCATGGAGCTTGGTGAAAGTGAATGGGGACTCTGGAGACGTGGCTCTAGATCTAGTTCTGCCACTGATTTGTCCCAGGACAGGCCTTGGGCACGATGCTCTCCCGCTCTTGTTTTCTAGGTCCTGTGAGATACTGTCCTTCACTTCTTCCGGGTGACATCTGAGCACCTGCAGCCCTTCCCATGCACATCCATTGTGGTTCAGATGAAAACAGGATGAAATGTAACCTGGTCTGATGACATTAATTTGCCTGAAGGAGCCCAGCACCCTGTCATTTAGAGCTGCATTTTCCTGGGGGCCTGGGCTGGGCCCCCTTTTAAGATGAAGGCTGCTCCTCCACCCTCCTGACACTTGGTTGCTGGTTTTCCTCACACCTGCAGCCAGTCCACAGCTGGCCGCCTGCTGGCCTAGCTCCAGGCCGATGGGGTGGCTGGACAGGCAGGGAGCTGCACGCAGCTTTGCAGTTCCAGCCTCAAGAGTGACGGCAGCCTCCCTAGGTACGGGCCACTGCCTGGCACTTTCCTCCCCTCCTGCCTCGGGTGGCTAGGGTGTGGATTTTGGCCGGTGAACGCCACGCATCAAACTCGTGTGTGGCAGCTGGGGGACCACCCAGCCCTAAGCAGTCGGCCCACCGCATTTCAGGGTGGGTTGTTTTCTTGCTCGGACTTGTTTTTCCTGGCACTGCAAAGGTCACATGCTTACTTCGTGGCAGTAAGTGTGAGGCGCCCCCGTGGGCTCTTAGCGAGGGTAAAGAGATGCTTTTTTTTTTTTTTTTTGCATACGCAGAAAGTTACGTGGGAACAGAACCATGTATAACCCATTAAACTGCCTGTCCTGATGGACGCCCAGGCCGCTCCTACATGTCGATAATGTGTACAAGATGTGTAGCGCTTGGGGCGGCACCAGCAGACGCTCTGGCCAAGCACTTATGTTCTAAATAACCCTCTTAGGCAGCACTTGCTAATTAATACCAGGGATAACCTCACAGCCCGCGGTGAACAGAGAAGCCTGGAATCTCCAGGAAGTGGGAGGATCCTCTGATATCCTTAACTCGTGATCTCCTTTCCAGAATCACCTCCCCACAACCATGTGTGTCCAATCTAGCACGGACACTTCTAGTGACCGGAGGTGTGCCGGCCAAGGATCAGTCCGTCCTCTGTTGGAAAGTTCCTATAGCAGTCAAAATCTGCCCTCCATAGACGTTTGCTCTAGGGCCCTCATCAGACCCTTTGGGGTCAGATAGAGTCCAATCCCTTCTTGTAGGACTGCCCTTGGCTATTGGAAGATAGTTCTCACCATCAGGGTTGAACCACCTGACACGGTTCTCCTGCACCTGGTTTTGACCCCCTTCCCCATTCTATCCAAGCTCCATTTACTTTCCTAGAAACATGGTTCCCTCGGTTTGCTCTGAGTAGCCCACAGGGAGAGCGGGACAGGAGAGTGCCTCGCTTCCTCTGAGCGGTGGGCAGTTCTCTCCATTAAGTAAGAGAATGAGAGGTGAGCTCCAGGCCCCCTACAGCTCCCTACTGGGGCTCTGCTCGGGGTCATCCACTTGTCCTGCCCTCGGGTGGGCAGACACCAACTCTGTCAACCACAACGGGCCTGGCCGGGCTGCTCGTTGGGCCTCCAGGGATGCCTGAGGACAGCTCCAATCTGCGGGCCAGTGACTTACACCCTCCCTGGCCTTCATTTCTCCTCATATGTGAAATTGAATTATGAAACCAGGTCAATAAGATTTTATGAAACCCTAGTAGGGAGAGGCTGGGCGTGGTGGCTCATGCCTGTAATCCCAGCACTTTAGGAGGCCGAGGCGGGCAGATACCTGAGGTTAGGAGTTCGAGACCAGCCTGGCCAACATGTTGAAACCCTGTCTCTACAAAAATACAAAAAATTAGCCGGGCATGGTGGCGGGTGCCTGTAATCCTAGCTACTCGGGAGGCTGAGGCAGGAGAATCATTTGAACTTGGGAGGGGGAGGTTGCAGTGAGCCAAGATCACACCATTGCACTCCAGCCTGGGAGACAAAGTGAGACTCCGTCTCAAAAAAAAGAAAAAAAAAAAAGTAGGGAGAAGTTCTCGTGGGAGTATCATGGCTTCGGTACTCTCACAGCTGCCTGACACCATAAGACTGAGCAACTAGGAAGGGGCACAGCGGAGGTTACTGCCCCACGGCGCAGCTGAAAAAACAGGCTCAGGGGATGAAATGACTCGCCATGGTCCCACGGGTGGATGGCAGCACTGCCCAGGAACTGGAACCCAATGCTGTTTTGAGGCCAAATTAGTGCTTTTCCCATGCCCTTGAGCAGCTCAGCCTCGTTGAGGGGGAAAGGATGAGACATGCTCAGGGTGCACCCACCAAACGATGCCTCTGTGTGTCCTGGGGCACAGGCTGGCACGGCTCAGAGCTCAGCCTGCATGCCCGCTCCCCTTGATGCTGTACTGTTTAGTTTATGAAGCCACAGGCGAGGGAGAGAGAGCAGCGTGATGGCCCCTCCTGCTGCAGCTCTCTGGCCTGGATACCAGGGACGGGGTGTGCCCACCCAGCCTGGGCCTGGAGGGGGCTGAGCCAGGGCGGCGGGTGACTGCTCGGCCATACTCCTCAGTGCCCGGAAGCCTGAGGGCACGAGGACTGGCTGTCTTCCCAGAAAACACAGATCACTGTCTGCCTGTTCTGTCCTTGAGCTCAGGCCCAGCTCTGTCCCATGACAGGATCCAGGAGGCGGGTGGCGGGTGGCAGGCCCTCCCCTCTATCCCAGGGAAGAGAGCAGGCTCCAAGGCCTGGGAGAGCCTCCAAGCCAGGGTCTCCAAGCCAGGCCTCTGGGGCCTGTCCCCAGGACCTGGGGCTCCCTGGGGGCTGCTTGTGGCTGCATTCAGTGCAGGAGGCCAGCCTCTGGAGAGCTCAAAGGAAGGACTTTGTTTTCAGGGAAGAAGGCAGGGCAAGGGTCACCTCCCCCTCCTTAATGAGTGACTGGCTCCAAAATGGCTTCTCTCCAATTGGTCTTTGCCAGGGCAGGGGTGACAGAGTCTGCTCTCAAGGGGGCAGCCTGAAGACCTCTGCGGGTTCTGTTGACAGGGCAGGAGCCGTGCCTCGCCACCCCCACCCAAGCATCTGAGCTGCCCCGGGCCTCTGCACAGCTTGACTCTGATGGAGGTAGCTCCAGGATGAGACTTGCTGAACCCCGGATCCGGCCACAAAGCGCAGAGCGCCTTTTCCTCCTGTAGAGCAGTGGGGTCAGGCCTGCGGTTGGAAGGGAAGGCTGATCCTGAGATGGGTGGAGCTTGAAGAAGCAGGATGATCCGGCAGGAAAGGAGCGAGCCAGTCAACACACCCTGGGGCACTAGGCTCTAGCGACCCAGGGCAATGAAATGAAGCAGTCCTCTTGTCAAGGTGGTGTCAGGCTTGTGTGAGGGGTGGAGGCGGAAAGGGGTGGGCAATGGGTGAGAAGGTGGCCATTTCTTCCTCTATGCCAGTTTTCAAAGTGGTGCCCTGGGCACGGCACGGTGGCTCACACCTGTAATCCCAGCACTTTGGGAGGCCGAGGTGGGTGGATCATCTGATGTCAGGAGCTCGACACCACCCTGGCTAACATAGTGAAACCCCGTCTCACTAAAAATACAAAAAAAAAAAAAAGAGCCGGGCGTGGTGGCGGGCGCCTGTAATCCCAGCTACTCGGGAGTCTGAGGCAGGAGAATCGCTTGAACCCCGGAGGTGGAGCTTGCAGTGAGCCGAGATGGCACCACTGCACTCCAGCCTGGGCCACAAGAGTGAAGCTCCATCTCAACAAAACAAAACAAAAAACAAAAACAAAAACAAAAACAAAGTGGTGCCCCGGAAGAAACCTACAAGAAGTCAAATGAAAGGCCCTGCTTCCAGTCCCAGCCCTGCCATAGCCTCACGGCCAGAGACGGACTCAGTGCTCTTCTCTGTGAAATGGGTGTTAGAACCGTGTCTCCTGAAAAGCCACCAAGTGTCTGGGGGAACTGGATGTGGGAGGGCTTTTTCGGCTGTGGGGGGCTCTATGGTGAGATGGAGGTGTGATCCTCTAGCAGGCCTGGTGGAGGCGCTCGGTCCTGGTGCCGGGAGGAGCTTCCTTCCCCACTAGCAGGAGCAGTCGGCACCGCCAGGGATGGATTCTCCGCGTGGCTGGATGGGAGGGCAAAGCCGGCTCGTGCTCCCCGTCTTCCCGCCCTCCCCCATCCTAGCAAGACCTTCTTCGTCCCCCGGTGCTGGCGGAATTTCAGAGGGCCTGGCTGCCAGGAAGGGTGGGGCTGCCAGACACGGCCGAGCCGCAGGGTGACCCGGCCAGTCCCGGAAACTCTCCAAACCTTGGACCTCAGCCGCACATCCGGCAACGCTGAGGGGTGGTGGCAGGGCCCGCCGGGGGACTGAGGGCGTGTGGGATGCCTCCAAGGTCAGGTCACTGGAGATTTCCAACATGAGAAAGGAAGAGCTGCGTTTTATCCTATGTGAGGATCAGAAGGCTTCTCAGGGTTGACGGAAGTAGTGGGGCGGCCTTCCCAAATGCTTTCCTACTCCCAGGTGCTACCTTAGGACTGAACGTGTATCCTAGACTCATTAATTCAACAAGAAACAGCCCAGACTTGTTGAAGAGTGTTCACTTTGTGCCCGGCACCATGCTAAGCTTGTTACTTACACAAATCTTTCAAGAACTCAATGAGATGAGAACATTATGCCCATTTCATAGATGAGAAAACAGAGAATCTTTCAAGAACTCAATGAGATGAGATTATGATGATGCCCATTTCATAGATGAGAAAACTGAGGCTCGGGGGACAAGAATCACTTGCCCAAGGTCACGTAAACACTAATTGTAGGAGTCTGGATTCACACCCAGGCAGGTTTGGGTGATTCCAAACTTTATGTCCTTAACTTTCCTGGAAGGCAGGACCCATAGTTTACTCAACCCTGCAGAATGCATAGTAGCCAGTGAAGATGTACTGAATGGGGCCTGCTGCATTTTTAGGGGACTGACTCTCTCCCATTATAGACTGATGAAAGGACATGAAATGCATGCCAGAACTTAGCTCAGTGGCTGGCACGTAGCAGAAGCCAAGGTGCAGCTTTCCTCCCTCTTACCTGGTGCATCTGTGCTCCTGAATAACACTGTCAGCCTCTCCTTCGGTCCCTGTTTGGGTAAAGCTGTTAACAGTCCCAGTCAGGGCTGGGTGCGGTGGAAGGCCGAGGTGGGTGGATCACCTGAGGTCAGGAGTTCGAGATCAGCCTGGCCAACATGGCGAAACCCCATCTCTACTAAAAATACAAAAATCAGCTGGTCACGGTGGCACATGCTTGTAATCCCAGCTACTCGGGAGGCTGAGGCAAGAGATCCCTTGAACCTGGGGGTTGGAGGTTGCAGTGAGCCGAGATCACACCACTGCACTCCAGCCTGGGCAACAGAGCAAGACTCCCATCTAAAAAAAAAAAAAAAAAAAAGGAGAGAGAAAAAAGTCTCAGTCAGAACCCATCAGCCTGAGGGAGTGAGAGGCCTTAGGGGTGGGTGGGAGAGGAGAAGGCAGAGTCTGTGGCTCTCTCTCCTGCATCCCACATGGCCTGGGTTTGGGAGTGGAGAGCAAAGACACCTGCTTCCTTTGCTGAGGTCGCTGAGGAAGCCCCTCCTCTCCTGCCTTGATGGAGGTGACGCGGACCTGGCCCTCCTCTCCTGCCTTGATGGAGGTGACGCGGACCTGGCCCTCCTCTCCTGCCTTGATGGAGGTGATGCGGACCTGGCCCTCCTCTCCTGCCTTGATGGAGGTGACGTGGACCTGGAAGCTTGGCCCGCGCAGAGCCCTGAGAGGCTGAGTCACACGGTCTGGCCCATGGACGTGAGAGGCACCGACACTGCGTCATAGCGTCGGAGGAGGCCAGGCCTGGTGGGGCCTCGTGCAGCTGAGCGTGAGAAGAAAGGGGCCTGTGGGAGGACAGCTGGGGCCGGCTCCAGGCCCCCTGGTCCCCACACAGAGCCAAGGCTGCACTTGGGCGGCCTCCGCACGCACAGGCCAACACAGACCTGATCTTCCTTCCTGGAACCTCCTTCCTGGCCCTGCCTCTCTGACCGTCAATGCGGTGTTGAGATTGAACTGTCCCATACTTCTGTCATTTTAACCCTCTCTGGGCTGGGCCTCAACAAGTTCACTGTGACACGGAGACAGGCAGAGTCCAGGTAGAAAACATAATTCGTTCTGGAGACCTTAATAGAGGGGAACTGCTTGGAAAGGTACTGAAAGATGAAAGTGCAAACATGGGGAAAGGTGACCTAGAGAGCACAGGACAGGGAGACGCCACCATTCCTGGGCTGCGGACAGAGAGAGGAGGTGGTGTTTTCAGAACCCAGTGAGAGCTAAAACCGTGGGCGAGATTCCCTGGCAGGAGCTGGGACCCCAGAGGAGGAGCAGTCAGATAAAGGGAGACAGCTTCCTCCCTCTTCCTCCTCACAGTCTCCTGGCAGTGGGAGATGGGGACCTTGGCAAATGTAGCTTGCAGGGGTGGGTCCCCTGTGACGAAAGAGAGCAGAGGGAGGGCAGGGCGTGGATCTGAGGCCAAACAAGCACAGGAGCTACCTAGTCGTCAGCTAGTCAGACCTTCACAAAAGACCTGAGGCAGGAGAATTGCTTGAACCCGAGGGTGGAGGTTGCAGTGAGCCAAAATTTCACCACTTCACTCCAGTCTAGGCAACAGAGTGACACTCCAGTCTCAAAAAAAAAAAAAAAAAAAAAAAAAAAAAAAAAAAAAAAGAAAAGAAAAAGAAAAAAGTCCCAGGGGGAAAAAAAATGTCGCATCCCTCCAACGGGGCGATCCAGAGGACTAGCCCCTGAAAAGTCAACTTGCCTCTGGAGATATTCCCAAATCCTCTATGGGTGATTGCAATTTGTGGTAACGTCCAAACATTTTCTCTGTCCAGAGTGAGGCAGGGAAAGAGGATAATTTTTGGAGGATTATCTGTTTTCTGTGCGTTTCTCAAAAGATAGGGGAACTTCTGGTGCTTAAACAAACACCAGGTATTCTGTTATAACATAACATCAGTCTTCAAGGATGAAGGACCTGAGGCCAGCAGTGAGACAGACTGACAGGCATGGGACGAGGGGGTGCTGGACTTGGAACCCAGAGCCTGAGGATGTCCCAGCTCAGACTATTCACTCCTCTTGGAGCCTCGGGCTCTGCATCTTTCAAAGGGGACTCTGCGTTTTTCAGCGTTCTGTAGCAGTGAATGACAAGATGGAAGACAGGGAGGTTGCGGATGAGTGCTCTGATAGAAGGCTTCTGCCTGGAAACAAGCACTCTCCGAGGAGAGTTGCTAAGCTCTGTTTTGCAGCTAATATCACAACACCCTTTGGAGGGGGCACCTATAAACCTGACCTCAGAACCATGGAATCAGAGACAGCTGGACTCAAGAGCCAGCTTGTCCAACCTCTCCCTTAAAGGAAGAGTTTGCTCTCCAAAGTACTCAGACTCTTTTCCTCCCTCCATCTTTATCTTCTATCCCCTTCCCTCTTTTTCTTCCTCCCTTCCACACATACTTCGGCGCACCAACTGTCAGGCACTGCGCTGGGTGCTGTGTCTGCAGCAGGGAATGGAGACAGATGTGGGGTGCTCCCCTCACAGAGTTCAAAGTCTAGCACTTGAAAGTTTCTGCAAGCGATCTCTGTTGAATACCCCTGATAACAGGATGCTCACTACCTTCTGAGACAGCCTATTTTGTGGGTTATTTTTTCCTTATTTAAACTCTGTCTCTGTTATGCTTATTCAGGCCCCTGGAGCTATATAGTGTAAGTCTGACTCCGTTTCCTATGTCACAGCCCTTGAAACTTGGGAAAATAAACACATTATACCTAGCAAGTATTCTCACTCTCCAAGTTGCACTTGTGAAAGGGAAGCTGGTTCTCCATGAAGTTAAATTTCATGAGGTCCTGATAGCCCAGGACAGGCTCTAATCTGGGTGCCTGGGCTCTGTTTCTGGTGCACCTGGGGCCGAGGGAAGCTGTGTGGTAGAGACTCATGAGGGGACACCGGCAAAGGTTCTCAGGTGGTGAGAGAGGCGGGCTTCAGTGGAGCAAGGGGGTCCGTCGGTCTGGAAGGTGGGGTGTATGTAAGGCAGGCTCTGGCCATCTGCCCAGGACAAGCCTGAGCTCCAGCGTTTCTGCTCTGATTCACAGCTTCCTCTCTTCCCAAAGGAATCCCCTTTACAGTTCTCGCAGCCTGACCTCAGCATCCCTGTGAATGTCGACGGACAGCTGCGCAGAGTGCAGCCACCGCGGCAGCTCTGCCGGGTGCCAGCTGGACGTGCTTGGCGGCCAGGCCCTGGGAGCCACCTCTCGGGATGTCAGAGGAGAGCTGCAGGCCGCCCTTCCGTCAGCAGGAAGCCCAGCCACAAACACTTGGACAGGAACCCGAGTGCTGGCCAGCTGAGCAAGCTCTGGTTTCTCTTGCGTCTGAGGGTTTGGCCCAGGGCAGAGGAAGGCGAGCCAGGTGCTGCAGGCTGCACTGCCGGGGCCGCGGACTCCCCCTTGGGCTGGGAATGTGGGTTCAAGGGTGTGAGCGGAAAAGCATCATCCAGACTGGGGCAGAAGGAGGTGCTTCCTGGAGGAAGGGCGAGGGAGCAGGGAACACAGCGTTTACCAGCGCGAGTCCAGCTGGCTGAGAATGCGCAAAGACCCCTTTGTGATCGCGCCGGACAAAGTGTGTTCCTTGGTCCAGTCCTCAGTCCCCAGCACAGACCCTGGGAGCACGCACTGCAGTCCTCCAGCACAGACCCCGGGCTGGGGAGCACACACTGCAGTCCTCCAGCACAGACCCCGGGCTGGGGAGCACACACTGCAGTCCTCCAGCACAGACCCCGGGCCGGGGAGCACGCACTGCAGTCCTCCAGCACAGACCCCGGGCCGGGGAGCACGCACTGCAGTCCTCCAGCACAGACCCCGGGCCGGGGAGCACGCACTGCAGTCCTCCAGCACAGACCCCGGGCCAGGGAGCACACACTGCAGTCCTCCAGCACAGACCCCGGGGAGCACGCACTGCAGTCCTCCAGCACAGACCCCGGGCCGGGGAGCACGCATTGCAGTCCTCCAGCACAGACCCCAGGCTGGGGAGCACACACTGCAGTCCTCTAGCACAGACCCCGGGGACCACGCACTGCAGTCCTCCAGCACAGACCCCGGGCCGGGGAGCACACACTGCAGTCCTCCAGCACAGACCCCGGGGAGCACGCACTGCAGTCCTGTGGGGCGGGACGTCCACACATGCCCAGCTTGAAGGATGACGCTTTCGAAAATTACCAAGCTGCACTGAATGAATTTATTTAAAATAGTATGTGCTCAGCCAGGGACAAAGGCAGCTTTCCATCCAGGGCTGACATTTTTTCTTTTAAGTTCTTTTTTTTTTTTTTTTTGAGACAGAGTTTTGTTCTGTCTCCCAGGCTGGAGTGCAGTGGTGCAATCTCGGCTCACTGCAACTTCTGACTCCCTCGTTCAAGCGATTCTCCTGCCTCCGCCTCCTGAGTAGGTGGGATTACAGGCAGGCACCAGCACGCCCAGCTAATTTTTGTATTTTTAGTAGAGACAAGGTTTCACCATGTTTGCCAGGATGGTCTTGATCTCCTGACCTGTTGATCCATCCACCTCAGCATCCTAAAGTGCTGGGATTCCAGGCGTGAGCCACCACACTCGGCCTTTGCTTGTAGGTTCTATGCATGATTATCTTTGAGGCTGTCTATGTGCACATACAGCCCATACAACTGCCATGAACACCCCCCAGGTTTGCAGACAGCTTAAACTTTTCACAAGTCATTCAGGTATTTTTTTCCCTCACATTTGCTTCTCACAGCCTGCTAGGCCAGTGAGAGATGGCTGGTGTCAGGGGGACAAGGAGGTAAGCGGGTTGGCTCAAGGTCACATAGCTGAGCGGTGGCAGAGTCCCGCCCACCACAATGACTTCTGCTCCTCTGGAAAGAGACCTGAATGACTGCTTCCCACGCATCTAAGCATCCTCCACCTTATTCTGGCTCATGTGCAGGCCCGCCTGGGGGATGCGCTCCGGACTGGAGTCTGCTGCTAACACCCCATTCATTTGTCAAAGCTCAGTTTGAAAACCTCCTCCTGAGTACATCCTGCCTGTGGCTTTAGTCGCTCTCCTCGACTTGGTCACAGCTCTTTATTTGTGCCTTTTTAATAATCTACATTTTATTGTACTCCATAGCCTCTGTGGTTCTGACGCTAGTCCTGGAATCGGCAGTTTTTAAAATAAAGGGATAGATAAATATTTTAAGCTTTATGGGACATTATGATCTCTGTGGCATCCACTCAACTTTGACATTGCGGTACAGAAGTGGCCATAGACAATATGTAAATGAATGAACATGGCTGTGATTCCAATAAAACTTTATTCACAAAAACAGGTAATGAGCCAGAATTGGCCCCCAGGCCATAGTTTGCTGACCACTGCTTTAGAACTCCTCGAAGGCCAAAACTGTTATTTTTGCTTATGCAATCGCAAGCATTATCTCTACCCCAGCACCCATGTCAGGTTGACCACATTTATATTTTGTAGATATATTAGTACATATACCCTTCTAGCTCCTATATATTAATAGGAGTTCAGTGTTAATTCAATGTATGAATGAATGAGTTTTGCAAATGATACCGTTATAGAACTGGTTAGGCTTCCGTTCTGACCTTTGCCTGCGGTGATATAATGCGGTGAGTGCAGTCTCATAGAAGGGAACGCATAGGCCTGGTTTGAGCACCAGTTCTGCCGCTTTCTAGCTGTGAAAACTTGGGCATGTAACTGGCTCTTTCAGTCTTAGCTCTCAGTTTGCCCATTTGAGATATGCGGTGATACCTCACTCAAAGGGTTGTCATAGGATAAACAGAGAGTGGAAAGCTTGGGGCCCAGGGCTGGGTACACAGTAGGTGCTGATGAGGTGGTGGGAATTGCTACCTGGAAGAATGCATTGTTACTACTGAAAGCCACTTGCGCTGAGGGTCAAGTTCCAGGTTGGGCCTCAGCATCTTCTTGCCCTGTGACACGTGAAGATACTGTGGGAATAAGTGGAAAGATAGCCCTTAATCTGGAAAAAGGAGGCTCCTATAAACCCAGGCAGTCTTGCCAAAGTGTCTCCTCCATTGCCACTCTTGTAGGCACCTAAACACACTGTCCAAAATGACCTCTTCATCTTCACCCTCCGCCTCTCAAACTGCTCTTTCTTCTCCATCTCCCAAGGTCTCAAGCCAGAAACCTGAACGTCCTCTGCATCAGAATTGCTCCCTTCACCTCAGGACCAGCAACCATCAAAGTAGCCACCATTTCCGAGCAGCTCCATGGTCCTGCCTGCTCCGAGTTTTGCATCTGTGCCCTTGCAGTAGCTGCTTCTCGTAGCTCTCTACGCCATCCATTTATCCACTTTGTCATTTGATTTATGTTTCAAGAAAAAAATCTGGTTCTGTCCTGCTCAGCCTCTATAATAATCAATGGCTCCCCATTCACAGTAGGCCAATGTCCAGTTTCATGTCCAGAGCCTTCTCCACTGGTTTTTCCAGCTCCATCCTTTGGCATTCTTTGCTTGGCACATGATTTTTAGCCTCGCAGATGGATCTCACTATATATATTCTTATCTCTTGCACTTTAATGCTATTTATGTCTCGTCTCCCTTCCAGAATTTCCGTCTTCTGCAAGATATCACAAATCAGTCATTAAATGTATCTTGTGACTCCAGAGTTTTTAAACACGTTGTTTAAAGGCATGTTACTCAGTTCTGTTTGGAATTCAGCTCTGAAAATCTGTACCAATGGTATATTTTGAGAAAAGTTTTTTTTTTTTTCAACTAAAAGGAAACTTAGATATCAGATGCCTTCTGATAAAAAGCTTCCTTGATCAGAAATACCCAGGCAATGGGCTCATGGCAAACATGAGGCTTCCAGCCTGGAAGGGTAATGGTGTGGCAAGTAAGGATGCTGTACTGGAGTCAAGTGGCCTTCTGGGGTTCCTCTTGTGTCACAGAACAGAGCCTTGCAGCCCCAGGAGCCTCCAGTGGAAGCTGGCATTCACTGGCGTGTCAGTGTGTGACCGCTCATGAGACAAACATGACCCACAACTGATTTTTGGCCTCTGTGACCTCAAAGCCCTCAGTCCAGTGAGTTTGGAATGAAGAACAAGGCCTCCAGGCTACAGGAAGGGTGAAAAATCACATTGGTGTCCTCTGTGTCCTCCTGTGACAGGTGATAGTAACTCTCGTTGCCCTTGAGAAAGGTCGCAAGTGCAAACACCTAGGGTTGGTCCATCCTGGTCTCTCTGTTTGCCTCTCCCCACCCTCACCCCCAGCCCTGCCAGTAGTCCAACCTGCCCTCTCCAGGTTCACTGAAATCCTGCCGGCTCCTCTTGTTCTCCTGAGAATAGGAGATGCGGACATGGTGCTCTGCACAGTGTTGACTGAACTTTTACCCCCACCGGTTTGCATACCAAAGTTAATTAATCAAGCCCTTTTTTTTTTCAAAGTTTTTTTTTTTTTCCTTTAAGAAAGCAATGTATAAAGGTGTAATTCTTCTCAGAGGTCAGCAGGGCTGAAAACTTGAGAGAATGAAATGAAATGTTTTTCTTAAAAAGCAAAAAACACTTGTTTTTGCTTAAAATCTGCCACTCCTATGTAAACTCCTAGTCTCCGATGTAAACTTCTTATTCAATTTAAGAGCAGTGAAGTGTAATGGGCACAGAATGAAAATGGAAAATTTTCCCTGAGTTGGGAAAGGAAATTAGCTCATCTCTATCTTGTAAGATGCTGCCTTTGATACTAACTCTTATATTACATTCTAATAACACTTATATTACATTCTAATAACACTTATATTACATTCTAGGGCTGTTAAGAAAATCATTGCTGGATTGAATTTTTACAGTGCTTTGCATTGTTAGTAAGAAAGTACTCTTGGAAGTGGATTTTGGTTTTAGAAACCCAAATTACTAAAACCTAAACTTATTAAACATACAAGTGGATGGATTTTGGCTCTGTAAAATAATCCACAACATTAAAAAATGAATATCACAATGCATTGGAAATGTGATTCAATTTACCGAGGTTTAGCTTAACATTTTAGGTAGACTTTATATGGCCTAAAACAATGATAGGACTTTTAAAAATTGTATTGATAGGATTAGGGTTGGTTTAAACAAGGTAGAAGTTTGGTTCTCACTCATGTAAAAGTCCAGGTGGGTGGTCTGGGGCTGACATTGCCTCCCCAGTATCGGACTCCCAGGCTTGTTCATTCATTCATTCACTTTGCCTCCCCAGTATCGGACTCCCAGGCTTGTTCGTTCATTCATTCACTTAGCAAATATTTATTTAGCACCGACTAGGCATTGGGGTCACAGCAGCTGGGGAATGGGGAACAGACAAAATCCCTGCCCTCATGACATTTACATCCTGTTGGTCCACTCATGGCCTTGACCTCATGGTCCAAGATGACAACATCTCTTCATTCTAGTCAGCAGGATGGAGGAAGGAATGAAGAAGAAGAAGGCAAGGGGTGAACTGACATAATCTCTTAAGGAAGGTTCTTGGAAGCTGCACAACTCTCTCCCTCCGTTTCATGCAGTGATTAGTCACACAGCTTATTAGGCTGTTCTTGCATTGCTGTAAAGAAATACACAAGACTGGGTTTATAATAAGGAAAGAGGTTGAGCTGGCTCATGGTTCTGCAGGCTATACAAGAAGTATAGTAGCATCTGCTTTTGGAGGGGCCTCAGGAACCTTACAGTCATGGCAGAAGGCAGAGCTGGAGCAGGCACTTCACATGGAGAAAACAGGAGCAAGAGAGAGAGAGTGGGCGGGGTGAGGGGGAGCACATGATTTTAAATGACCAGATCTCGTGAGAACTCGCTATCACGGAGACAGCACCAAAAGCCATGAGGGATCTGCCCCCGTGGTCCAAACACATTCCACCAGGCCTCATTTCCAGCAATGGGGATTACAATTCAACAGGAGATTTGGGCTGGGGTAAATGTCCAAACTATATCACATGGTCTCACCTAGCTGGAAGGGAAGCTGGGGAATATAGTCTTTATTCCATGTGGCTACCATTTGCCCAGCTGGAAATCTGTTATTAAGGAAAAAGGGGAGTTGAATAATTGAGAGAGGGGTGCTACCAGTCTCTTTCACAAATAAAATTTGTAATTTTAAAAATAATACATTTTATGTAATCTAATGTGCCCAGAATATTTTTATTATTATTATTGAGGCAGAGTCTTGCTCTCTTGCCCAGGCTTGAGTGCAGTGGCACGATCTCAGCTCACTGCAATCTCCACCTCCTGGGTTCAAGTGATTCTCGTGCCTCAGCCACCCGAGTAGCTGACATTACAAGTGTGCACCACCATGCCCAGCTAATTTTTGTGTTTTTAGTAGAGACACGGTTTTGCCATGTTGGCCAGGCTGGTCTCTAACTCCTGGTCTCAAGTGATCTGCCTGCTTCAGCCACCCAAAGTTCTGGGATTACAGGCGTGAGTCACCACGCCCAGGGCAGAATATTATTATGCCAATGTCCAACTAATATAAAAATTATTTCATGTTCTTTTTTTTTACTAAGTCTTTGAAAACTATGATATATTTTACACTGACATCACTTATATTCTCTCATTCATTCACCTACATTACATCCCTATTCAGACTAGCCACATTGCAAGTGCTCAGTGGTCATATTAGACAGTGTTCTGGAGCCTGGCAGCTTGCAGTGTGGTCCATGGGCCAGCAGCATCAGCATCGATGGGGAGCTTGTCAGAGGTTCAAGACTCCAAGGCCCCACCCCAGACCTCCTAAGTTAGAATCTGTATTTTAACAAGATCTCCACGTTATTTGTGTGCACATTAAAGTATGAGCTGCACTGTTCTATAATAATTCTTCAGATAGGATTTCCAGTAGAATCTAACAAAAGAGTCTAGAGAAAAGAGAAACTACCTCAATGAACTCTCTGGAATCAAGCATAGAAACTTGTCAGATCCCATTTTTCCTTTTTCTGATCCCATTAGACTGCTAATTAGACCTTCGGAGAAGGGGTGATTTTAAAGTAGTTACATTCAAATGAATCAATTTAATAATAGGGAAAAATTTAAAAACCCAAACAACATAGAATTGTTGGACTGTGAGTGGATTTAATTTTCAAGGCTAACCTCCAATGCCATGAGCAGAGCTTTAAAATATATTGGATTTCTCTTAAACTTCTTCCCCGTTTTTTTAACAGCTTTATTCAGATACAATTCATATACCATACAATTCACCAATTTCAATTGTATAATTCAAGGGTTTTTCATATATTCACAGAGTTGTACAGCCATCACTGCAATCAATTTTTGAACATTTTCATCACTTCCAAAAGAAATCCTGTACTCATTGAGAGTCACTCCTCATCTCTTCCTAGCCCTAGGCAGCCACTAATGTACTTTCTGTCACTACAAATCTGCCTATTCTGAGCATTTCATATCAATGAAATCATACCACATATGGTCTTTGGAGACTGGCTTCTTTCACTTAGCCTAGTGTTTTTAAGGTTCATCCATGTTGTAGCATGCATCAGTACTTCATTCCTTTTCATGGCTGTATAATATTCCATGATATGGATATACCACATTTTGATTATCCATTCATAAACATATAAAGTTTTAATACAGAAACCAGAGAAGAAGGGAACAAAACAGTAAGGAGGAATCAAGGAAATAATAGCTCCTACTGGATTCAGACTCACAGAGAGTCAGAGCTGAAAAGAACCTTAAAACTCATACAGTGCATTGTTGTCCATGTGGAGAACTGAGACCCAGCAAATGAAAACCCTTTGTCCAGGGCCCTCCAACATCAGGAGGCCCAGCTGGGATGAGGATCCAAACTGCTTTGACTCCAACTCCTCTGCTGTACTCTGCCACCACAGACACCCAGGGTCTCAGCCTGCACCTCAAGGTAGTCATGGGAACAGTAGTCCTGGCAGCATCAGGGCGAGGCATAGCTCTTCATCTTAGTCTTGGTCTCAATTTTAGAAAACCATGTGGAGTTGAGAACCCCAGGGTGGATCTGGAGTTAGTTTTGGAGAGCTGTTTTCAAGATCTGTAGTAAAATGTCTGATATTCTGAGCCTCTTTCCATGTCACATGCAGATATATCTCTTTTTTTCTTTGAGATGGAGTCTCACTCTGTTACCCAGGCTGGAGGGCAGTGGCGTGATGTCAGCTCACTGCAACCTCCGCCTCCCGGGTTCAAGTGTTTCTCCTGCCTCAGCCTCCCGAGTAGCTGGGATTACAAGCACACACCACAACACCCGGCTAATTTTTGTATTTTTAGTAGACACGAGGTTTCACCATGTTGGTCAGGCTGGTCTTGAACTCCTGACCTCATGATCCACCCGCCTCGGCCTCACAAAGTGCTAGGATTACAGGCGTAAGCTGCCATGCTCGACAGATATATTTCTTAATCATCAGAAAGAATATATTAAAAGCTCAGGAATCATAGCTGGAATGATCTTGATGCCTTCTTTCCAACAGAGGCCCATGGAGGGAAGGTGACTTGCTGAGGAACCTCCTCCAGCACGTGACAGCCAGTGTTCCCAGGGCACCATCTGTCTGTGCTTCTCATACCAGTTGGCGCCTTGCTTCTAAACCACAGAAGCTGGTTCTCAGTCATGGGATCCTTGGGATGCTTGCTGCCTCTCCGCTGGACTCTTGACTCTGCTGCCACCATCATACAACAGCTCTGACAATCTCCATGTCCTTGTACTTTCCTATTGGATTCACAATCTCAGGCATGAACAGGTGATTGGCTGAGTACCTTGAGGTGTGGAAAGTGAAGATCTGCTCCTCTTCCGCCTCTGTGACAGGAGGCGGGGTCAGAGGCGGGATCAGAGGTGGGGTTGTACTTTTCACCTATTTTGGGGTTCTTCTAAATTAGGAAGACTGGATGCTGGGTAGTTAAAAAACAACATGTGTCCACAACTGTTATAAATATAATATTCTCAAGTGAGAAAAACACCAAAACTTTGTCCCACCAAAGAATACCAATGTTAGGCAATGACACAGGGAGGCAGCAGCCTGTGAAAGACAGGAGATAGGCATTTCAGAAAAGACTGAGGACCTTTCTAGAGGAATGTGTTCCGTTCTGACTGTCTCTCAGAGAGATGGAAGCAAGTTGAGTGGGGGTGGAGACCAATGGAGGATGAGGTGTTTCTAACAACCAGAAATGCCCACCACTAAATGGAGTGATTCAGAAGGTTGAGACCTCTTCACACCTGGAAGTCTTTGCACTGGGACATTGTCAAAGGGAGCAGACCCCCTCAGGCATAGGAGGCCCTAAGGCTGTACTGTCCATGACAGAAGCCGTTAGCCACACTGCACTCTGAGCACATATTGAAATGATCATCTGCTCTATTGAACTAAGTAAAATGTATTACTATAATTAATTTTTCCTGCTTCTATTTGTTAATATTGTTGCTAGGGAATTTACAGTCACCTGTGTGGCTTCATTATATTTCTGCTGGGCTGCTAGAAGGTCTCTTCTGGCTCTGAGATGTCTCCATCCCTAAACCTGCTGCCATCCCTCCCTTCAGGGCTGCACCAGGTGTCCATATGGTGGGGCTCTAGGAAACCGGATGAATAACAACACCCTTTCTTCTTTCAGAGTCCAGAACCAACTGAGAGAAAGTGTCCCCTTTCTTGGCAAATTGGAGGAAAATGCAGCTTGAGGTACGGCCAGGCAGGCTTGCTAATACATCACACCTGGGACAGATAAGCTTTATTATCTGCTAGGGCCTGGCGCAGATGGCCAGCTGCGGACCTCCCCCAGGACGGAGCCCAGCACAGAAGGCCGCCTTCTGCTCCAAGAGGCAGAGGGATCGAGCCCCACAGGTGCGGGTTTTCTCCCAAACTCATGAGTTACACAAATCATCCTGCTCTTGGGGAGAAGCGAGGTTGGGAGTAATGTCGAGGTTTCTCCCAGGGACACCAGTGTAAGGAGGAGTGTGAGGGGATACAGACTTAGATTTTCTCAGCCTTAAACCTCCAGAAATAGTCCAGTGTCCAGCATGATGAGATTCAGGGAAACTGGGGCTGGCCTTTGGGCAACTTACTCCACCTGTTTAAGCTCTATCTTCTGACTGGTGCTAGGAGCACCCACATGGGCACAGAATGTGACGATGCCTAGAAACACGCATCACCTTGCTCAGTGCAGGCTCAGTGCTCAACACAGAGCAGCTACTGTTTCTTCCCCTACTGCTAGCACTCAGTGTGAACTGTGTATCACATGGAGCAAACTGCGGGGCGGGGCCGGGGTTCGCCTATCTCTTACTGGTCTTGTGTCTAAGACCAGTTATAGAATTGTGGGATTTCAGAGCCGTTAGAGATCCCAGATACCATCTCGTCATGTGGCAGATTAAGTAACTGGTCTGTAAGCGAGGAAGGGAGGCGACAGTCAGGAAGAGGGCCGTATGGGGGTGGTAAGTGACACGTGCAACCTCTCCACCCGCCCCCACCCCGTCACCACACTTCCTGGACCTAGTAATTCAGGAAGGCAGTCTGTCTGACCAAAAGGCAGGAAGTCCGCCGGGCCCACTCCCATCCTGGTGGCGTGGCGGCTGGGCTCTGTTCTCAGGCTGCTAGCACCGTACTCCCAGTGGGCATGTCAGGCAAGTCCTGGCTGCTCACCTCAGTTCTAGAATCTGCCACATTCAGAGTCTATTTCTTAGTTGTTTCTGCTTTCCTCATATGTTATATCACTGGGACACCCTCAGGTCATCTCAGGTTCCAGTGGAGCCGTCCCAGACCCAGCATCTGAAAAGAGATAAAGAGATATTTTTGTGATTCTTTTTAAGATACTTTTTCCATTTACTTTATTGTTTTTGAAATGGAAAATATTAAGTTGAATATTTTAATGCAAATCTATTTGTGAATCCAATTATGTGATACTTAATTTTTTTTATTTTTAAAAATAAAATAATCAGTGATACATTTAATAGGGTATGTATTACAAAAATTATATATATATATATATATATATATTTTTTTTTTTTTTTGAGACAGAATCTTGCTCTGTTGCCCAGGCTGGAGTGCGGTGGTGTGATCTCGGCTCACTGTAACCTCCGCCTCCCAGGTTCAAGCGATTCTCCTGCCTCAGCCTCCCGAGTAACTGTGGCTACAGGCATGCACGACCAAGCCCCGCTAATTTTTTTTGTATTTTTAGTAGAGACCGGGTTTCACCATGTCAGTCAGGCTGGTCTTGGACTCTTGACCTCAAATGATTCGCCTGCCTTGGCTTCCCAAAGTGTTGGGATTACAGGTGTGAGCCACCTCGTCTGGCTTACAAGATTAGTTTTTATCTTAAAATAAATTGAACAAGGCCAAAATTTGACTTGCAGTTAACCAGAAGTGTGAAGTATTTATGCCGTGGAATCCACGCCTCTGTCTATTGTCGTTTCTCTAATATTCTTTCTGTATACACAAAATACATCCTAATCATGACTCAAGATAGATCTATTCCTTGGAGAGTGATAGAGATGATGACAAGGAATAAAGAATTTTCTGTTTGGAGAGAAACATAGATGGATGAGCTTGAGTTTGCTTGCAGTTCCTCTTCACAGCACAAATGGGGAGCAGCATCAGAGCTGGACTCAGAGACCAGGGTTCTTATCTCAGCTTTGCCACCATTAAACTGGAGATCTGGGGCAAGTCACTTCCCTCTCAGTTACCTCGTTGCCAGCCTTAGAAGACCAGCCGAGCTGAGCCTTGCTGGGTAAGGATGGCCCTGGGATTGAAGGAGGAGCCCTGACGCTGTGCCTTGTGCCATAGTGAATGGCAGGGGTGGCGGCTCTGAGGTGCCAGTGCAGGACACGCACCGTGATGTGCAGGGGAGGAGACTGTGCTTCTGAGTAGGGCACTCCTGCAGCTGGCCACGCATAGCCTTTCTGTCCTGTTGTATGAGATCTACCCCATGTTATGAGCATCCACCTGCTTTTCAGCAGGAAAAATCATGACCCAGTCACTCTAGGTTTGCCTTCCACGTTGTCCTCTTCGCTGATTAAATAGTCTTTCTTTGGTATACGCTTCTGAAACTTCCCTGTTCAAATGAGGCCCCTCCCAAGGGGGTCCACGTTAGCACAGAAAATGCTTTCTTTCCATCTCTGATTGATTATCTGTTCTCATTTGTTCCCGGACTTCAATTTCAGCCTGAATGTGAGTATTTATTTTAAACAGTCAGCCTGGACTTCATCAACATGGCAGTATTTTAGGGAATCCAGTTGTAGGTCAAATGCCTGGGGTTTCAAAGAGTGTAAGCTGAAGTCTCTGACCTAAACTCTAGAGACTAAAGGTTGTCACTGAAGACTGCCATCTTTATGGAGGGCGGGGAGAAGGTATTTAATAAATGGGGCTTTCTCCTAATGTGGTTAAAGGAGACCAGCAGCTCCAATTCAATTCAAAGGCAACTCAGTGAGGGCCCAGTAAGGGTCTAATGCTGCATTCATCACTGGAGTCTCCTGCTTTTGGCTGAAAGTCTATCTGCTCCCAGGAGAGTATTAATTGAGCACTTACTATCTGACCAACCCTGTGCCAAGTGCTGTGTGGGATCTAGTGGTGGTGGTGGGGGAAGCCTAACGTACAGGAGAATATGCCGTGTAGGTGCTGGTGGTGTTCCGCTGTGCAAGCTTCATCCAGACAGAGGGTTTTTGCAGCTGGGCCTGACCAGTCCACCAGCAAGAAGGGGCTGGCATTGTTTTGTTGTCACAATCCTGGTACCTGAGGCACCTGGAATAGGCTGGCTTTTTGCCTTCAGCACTCTAGATCCCCAGCTCGGGCTGGAATTCTTTCCTAACCCCTACTCCTCTTAACTGGGGTTTGGGCAGCCAATCTCTTGCCACCTTCTTGCCACTGCTCCCTGTATCTTCATCTGGGGATCTGCTCTCATCTGGATGGCCATCAGTTTCCACCTAGCCCCTGTCCCAGCCCTGCAAACAAGCAAGACCAATGCAGACTCATCATTGTCAGCATGTCCCCTAGGTCCCTCAACATGCTGCCATTTCTGTGTTTCCTCCTCAGGAAGGGGCACCTTTTCCAACCAGGCACCCACCTAGAAACCTGAGAATCATCTGAAATCATTTCCTCTCTGTCACCACCATCGCCCAAATACAGTTGATTTGTGAGCTCTCAAATCCACCGGTTTCTCTCCATTCCCAGTTACAACCTTTGTCCAACCCACCCATGTCTGCTTTGCTCACCGTTGCAGTCTCTGCACCCAGCACAGGACCTGTGAAATGGTTGCTCGTACCATTTGCGGAATGGAAGATGTGAGTGAGAGTGAGTGAGCCAGGGGAGACCTGTCAGGATGGCCTGACCCTTGTTTACCTCTTAAGTCTCATCTCTCTCCTTCACCGCCACTTACCCTTTACCTGGCAGCTCTCCTGAGCTCCCCGTACAGCCTGGGTTCTTGTCCACATCTTCCAGAAGCCTCCCCTTTTCCTGTTTGAATTAGATGGTCCCTCTGTGCCCCCAGTGCCACATGCCTAGCCCATTTCCTGGGGAGCACGCATCCCACGACACTGGCATTGCCTGTCTGCATGTCAAGTGTTCTCTCTTGATGCTAAGTTCCACGAAGCGGGCTCTGTGTTTTACGCATCACTGCATTTCCAGCACTTAGCGCAAGCAGGTGCTCCTTGAATTTTTGTTGACCGAAGGTCTAGAAACTCCTGCTTTGGTGCCTAACTGCTTCCTGCCTCATGTCTCTCCCCCAGCCCTCCACCCCCAATCTACCTGGCTTCTGGCACTGCTCACTCTGAGGTGCGCGGCTATCCATGGGCCAGCCCCATGTAGCAGTGTGTTTCGGGTGCTGGTGCCACCCATTCCGTTCCTCTCCATGACAGGTCACTTGGTGCAGAGCGCCTTGATCTGCACAGTAGGACATGCTTTCCTGGCCTTGGACCTCCCAAAGTCTACCCGGTGCTTGTGCCCTCTCCTGGCATCTTCTGACCGGGTCCCCATGGGGTTTCGTGCTCATCCCTTCACTGGCTTGTGAATGTCCCCGGGGCAGGGGCAACATCCAACTGGTCTCTGACCACCGGTCCCCCCTCCCCCTCCCCACAGCACCCAGAACAAGGGCTCATTTGTGCACGGTAGATTCCCAGGAAAGGGTTCTTTTGGATCCATCTGAAGGCTGGAGGGACTTAGGGAGGGGTGGGACTCTGGGAATTCGGATGGCTGGAGGGAAGCTTGGAGGAGAAGGAGGAGGAGCTACTCCTCACCCAGAGTGGGGTGAAGGCCGAGCTCCTGTGAGGGACTGTGACAGGAATGGCAGGGCAACAAGGGGCAGTGGCGGAGCAGAGCTAGGAGAGTAGTTGCAGCCTCAGTGCCACGTCAGTCCAGCCCAAGGCCTCCTGGGCGGCCAGCTGACCAGGCCTCAGCGTCAGGCTTCCTGTGCAGCAAGGTGCCCAGAGCTGTGCAGGCTGGTGCTGACTGCTGTCCCCCACCCCACCACAGGGGCCCTGGGGAAAGGGTGCCTTGCTCCTTCTCTGCCCTGCTCTCCCCATATGGGTGTCTCTCATTCTTTTCATCATAGTAAGCAGCACGACTGCAAAGTGCTTTATGTCCCCTCCAGAAAGGCCATGAGCCAAAGGTTTGCTGTCTTCCTCACCATCACCACCACTGTCTTCCTCACGATCACGGCCACCATCCTGCTCGCCCTGTCCCACATCCGAACAAAGCTGCAGAGTGTACACCATGTTTCTTCATTATCCCATTTTGACGGTTGCAGCTGCCATTATTCACTCTTAACAGTTAAGGACACAGAGGTTCAGAGAGGTCGAGGGGCTAACTCATGTCACACAGCCCGACTTGAGGTGGAGGGAGGGAGGATGGATTAGGAAATCTGCTCTGGAATCCCTCTTAGAAAGTGTCAGCAGGGCACAAGTGGAGTCTGCGTGTGCACCTGTGTAAGTGTGTCTGTCCTGATTCTCTCTGTGCGCCCCTGTATCCTTCTATGTCCTGAGTGTGCCGTCTTGGGTGTGGATGTGTGGAGCTGTGCTGGGAGTATCCTCAGGGTCGAGTGTGTGTGCATATGGCCGGGTGCAGACACATGCGTGCACATGGATGCTCCACCCGCTTCTCAGATGTCTTGGCTGTGGGTTTGACAACTGAAACCCAGCTGTGCTCCGGCCGGGAAACATCCGCTGTGGAAACCTGGGAGGAGCTGACAGTCCCTAAAGAGGGGTTACACATGCTGCCAGCAAGCGCGCCTGGCCCACTGCCTAATTCCCTGCAAATGCTCTTTAAATCTGTTTCTAATTTGGACTCTGCCTTCCCCTGCCCCCACCCATCCCTTCCCACCCTCCCAACTTGCCTGAAACCAGTCAAATTATGCTGAATAATGGCTGCAGAGTGGGGGGAGAGTGCTCAAGGTCGCCGATGGGCTCTCGGAGGGTGTAATAATGTCACATTTTAATTTACGCAGGGAACGGTGCACGAATCAAAACCAATAAATAATTTGGGCTGCACCAGCAGCTGCAGCCAACAGTAACTCCTACAGGTCATGCCACTTCCCGGGGAGAAATCACTAACTGTCACACTCCAAAGTCCACTATGCTTGAGAAAACCCATGTGCCTAGGTACAGATGCAAAATACAGCATTTTCTCTCTGCAAGGGACCGTATTTGGAGACTTGCAGCATCAGCAAGAATCTGTCCAGTTGTCTGAGTATTACCCAGATGTTCTGGGTATTAAGATTCTAAAACAAAATATGCCTCTGTATATTTTGCTGCCCTGTGAAATACTCAGCTCCAGGCTGACCCAGATGCATGGGAAAGTGTATACAAAGCGGAGGGAGGAGTGTGGAAAGCAGGGCTTTATGTCCACATTGATGGCAGCTCTGAAAAGCCGACCTACATGCAGAGAAAGGCGGGAGGGGCTGCTGGGAGAAGTCTGCTGGAGCTTGTTCATGCTGAGAGGTTGGGGGTGTGATTTGAGGTACGGTTTTTTCAATAATTAATATGAAGGTAAAAAATGCATGCATTCTTTGAAGGCAGGGGCCTTGCTCTACTGACCCCTTTTGGTCCCTTGACGACCGATGAGTCAGGGTAAGGGAGCCCAAAAGTGGGGAGGTCTTGAGATGGTTCTCACCTGTGTGTTGTGGCTGGGTAACCTGGGAAGCCAGGAGGAGGACGAGCCTTAGGTTTTCACAGCATCTGGAGGCCTTTGCTGGGAGGTCCTGCCTGTGGTGTTCTGGTGAAAACCCCGTTCCTTCCCCCGAGTCTCCTGAGCATCTGCAATTGGTGTGTGCTCCAGGGGCTGCTGATGGGGCCTGGCATGCTGCCCACCTCTTAGCTGGCTCTGCAACTGCAGGAAGGTGGGGTTTGCAGCCCGCGGGGCCACTGCCTTGGAAGTTGTGCGGCTGTCAAGAGTCTGGAGCTGCAGCTTCTCCATCTGGCTGGAAAGGAAGCATGGGAAGAAGCTGCTGAGGTTGAATGGCACCCTGAGGATTTCACTCCCCTTTTCCTACCACACACCAGACCGGGGCCATCAGGTTGCCTGGGTAAGAAAGGCGCGGGGGGGCCCACACTTGTATTGTGCACCAGGGCCTGGCTCCTATTTCATCCTTCAAGGCGCTTCCCATTCATATCTTTTTCCATTTTCAAACTGTTGGCCCTGTATTTAGTTGTGTGTGATACTAAGGATGCTGCCTATGTCAAAAGCCTCATTTAACCCTCAGAACACACCTGCAAAGTAGAATAAACTATAAGAAACTAGAAGAGGGCTAGGTGTCCACTGCAAGGGTGTACTTCTCCTTCTTTTAGGGTTGAGTTCCTGCAAGGAAATAGCTGCTAATTTTCCCACCCCCTTACAGTTAAGTCCAGCCCTAGGATCGGGTTCTGCCCAGTGGAATGTGAGCAGTGCAGTGGGTTGCCCCACTCCAGAGCCTCCCACTAGAAACTTCCCAGGAAGCAGTCTCCAAGCTCCAACCCTTCCGCCTGGATGGAACAGGGGCAACCCCACCATGACCTTGGAAGCTACAAACTTAAAATGGCAGAGCATCTCTCGCCTTGGGGTTTTGAATGACTGTGTGGAGAAAGACTGCCCGGACAGCATGTTCTCTGCCCTGTCCTGAGCAAGAAAATGAACTTATACTCTATTGTTTCCCAGCCATTATGCTTTTTGGGGTTTGTTTGTTTTAGCAGTGAACTTATCCCTCAGTAATTGATTAGAAATTTTCATTCCTATTGTAGAAATGAGGAAATCGAGACTCAGAGAGGGAAATTCATGGCCCAAGGTCACATATTCGGTTAATAGCAGAGTCACGATGCCAGTCTACGCCTTCCTGGCTTCAAAGTCATGCTCTGGTTATGTGAGTTTCCCCAAGTGTGTTCCACAGAACACTGTTCAAACCACCGCCACCACCACATCACCCCCGCAGCTCCCATGCTCAAATAAGTTTGGGAAATGCCAACTTCGAGTCAACAGGTTTCTTTGCCGCAGTCCTTTCCAGCATGTCACCATGCTCATGATACCTGTGAATTACCACCAGGGCATCTAACATGAAGGATTTTTCCAAATTTGTGAGGCCACAGGGCCCCTTCTCCACAGAGCTGATTGTGAGACTGGCATGCTTAGAGCTCATCTTGGTAGAGGCTAAACTTCAATATGCTGCCTGATACGGGTTGAACTGTGTTACTCTCTCAACCCCCGAAAGGATTCATTGAAGTCCTAACCCCTGGGAGCTCGGCATGTGACCTAATTTGGATATAGGGTCTTTGCAGATTTAACCAAGTTAAAATTAGGCCCTTAGATGGGGCCTGCTTCAATATGACTGGTGTCCTTAGAACAGGGGAAATATAAACACAGAGACAAGCAGACACAGAAAGAGGATGACATGAAGACACCCAGGGACACACAGCAGATATGCCACGGGAAGAGGGAGGGCTGGAGTAGTGCATCTGTAAACCAAGGAATGTCAGAGATTGCCAGCAAACCCCAGAAACTAGAAGAGGCAAGGAAGGATTCTCTCCCGGAGCTTTCCGAGGGAGCACGGCCCTGCCAACACCTTGACTTTGGTCTTCTAACCTCCAACACATGAGAGCACACGTGTCTGTTGTTTAAGCCGCCCAGTGCATGGTAGTTTGTTATGGCACCCCTGGGAAATGCATACGCTCCCTCTGGCTCCTTTCAAAACCAGGAACCAAAGTTTCTGGGCAATGTTACCTTACCGAAAATCATCCAAATGACAAACTGTGGTGGCTTCGGTTTACTGACAAACAGATGAAGGAAAAGAGAGTCTGGAGGGACAAAGGGTAGCACCGCAGAGCAGCTCAGGGCTTCAGTTTTGGCGCCATGCCGGCTGCTGTGCACCCGGCTTTGGTTGCATCCTGGAGCGCAGTCCTCCACCGCTCTGGGCACAGTTGCCTTTTCTATAAGGGTGGGGCTAACACTCACTTCATAGGTTGAGGGGAGGGTTAAACAAATTAACATACACTAAATGTTTGGTCTAGTACCTGGAAGATACCCAGTATCCGTTCCTTTGAAATTTGCGCAAGCAGGATTGCAGACCTGCGCTTGAATCCAAACTCTGCTATTTATCAACAGTGTTGCTGTGGGCAATTTGCTCAGTCTTTCAAAGTCTGGATTTCACCATCTATACAAAGAGAAAATAATGCGTGTTGTTAAAAAATGGTTTTAAAACAAGTTAGAAATCGTGATTCTAAAATAGATAAAAATGAGCACGTTATCATTGTGAATGAGTGAACCAGCGATGTTACAACTGATTCAAAGAAGAATCCAAAGAACAGATGTGTTTATGGTTATGGAATGTTGATTTTCAAGTGGTCACAATGATCTGGCTTTTGCCCCGTGTAGGAGGGTGGATGGAGCTCATTTGCGGGTCCACAATTCAGGGTCACTGTGTGTCCTCTCTTCCCTAAAACTTACAGAGCAGTAAACTAGCCCAAAGGCTGGAATCAGATAATCCAGAGGGTCTGCTCTCAACAATAAATAGTTTTCTCTTGGAGAAACCCTGTAATCTTCTTTGCTTATTTCAGATTTCCTTGTAGTCTCATATATTTATATGCATAGGATTGGGAAAAGATGCATACATGGAAAAAGCAAGTTGCTGAATCAGGTATAATCCTACTTTTATAAAAACAAACAAACTGTGTGTATGTGTATACATATGCACACACACGAGTGGGTGTGTATATATAACGTTGATTAAATTAGACAAATGTCAGGAAGAATACAGAAGGATTGTAAACAATGGCTACCTCTGGAGGGCAGGTCTGGTGATGGTGATGGTGGAGGGAGACTTTCATGACTTATTTTCTAAACTTCTGTGTTGTTTGAATAAAAACAAACGCCTACTTCACAGTATATTGTGAATAAGGAATGTCTGAGTGAGAAAAATGTCCTTTGTGCTTCACGCAGTGTGTAGCATTCAACAAATCACAGGTTTCATCATTGTTATTATTTTACATTCAACTATCCCAGAGCCCCCTAAGCCTATTCCTGGAAAGGAAATTGCAAACAAGAACAATGCTATTGCAGCCCAAGGACTTCTCCCTTTGTGGGAGGCTAGTTTTGAAATCCTAGACTTGCATTTTGGCTCCCTGGAGACTGGAGGAGACCTCTATCCTGAGCTACAGCCTTGGAGTGGCTCCTGTCTGTTTTACTTCCTTAGCCCCCACCAGCAGCCCCACGCTCAGGCCCACCCAGTGTTTAGCTGCGACAAACTCCTTGGCCACAGGAGGGAGGCCTGACTGGGGCCAAACTCTAGGGCAAAGGGTTGCCTAGGCCCTGTGCCATCCTCTTGCCCAGACTGGGACTAAGAGACACCTATTAGCTCCATTTGAGTCTGGTTACCATCCCCTACCCAGGGATGGGGTGCTGGTCACAACAGGCAAAGAGACAAAATGAAGTTTTTGATCACACAAAGCTAAAGATCTAATTTCAGCTGCTGACTCATCCCCTAAAGGGCGGCGTTGGTGCCTCCAAAGGGCTTGGGATGGAGTCAGGAGATCTAACCCTGGTGCAGGTTTGGCCACTAACTAGCTGCATGTCCATGGACTATGTCTCAGGTTCCCTATCTGCCTAATGAGAGTAAGAAGAAGGTTTATCTCCAAGGGCTATCAGGAGGCTTAACTGAGGTGATGTCTGAGCTGTGGGGTTCTGTAGAGATTTAGTTTGGGTTGATGCAATAGGGTACTTCAGGGTGCTTGATATGCTTTAATAGCAAATGTTATATGGCACTTACCATGACGCGCAAGGCCCTGTTATATCTGATTTACATTTATTTAGTCATTGGGTATTCACAGCAGCCCTGTGAGGAATGCACTGTTATCCAACCCCCATTTTACAGATGAGAAAATAGAGGCAAAGAGAGCTAAGTAACTTTCCCCAAATCTTCCCATGGGACATGGCATGTCCCAGTCCCACCTGGACAGAATCCTTTCTCAGGGACCCATATCTCAAACCCACAGACTTGATTGGGTTTTCTTTTCTTTTCTTTTTCCTTTTTTTGTCCTTCCATTGTAGAATACTTCAACTGTGTGAGAGTAAAAAGAATATTAGAATACATTTCCAGGAATTCCCATTACCTAGCTTTATTAATTACCAACTCATGACCATCACCATCCCCTTCACACCCTGAATTATTCTAGATCAAATCCCAGACATCATATGTACATATACTTTATTTTCTATTTATTTACTTATCTTTTGAGCTGGCCTCACTCTGTGCCTGGCTAGAATGCAGTGGCACCATCATAGCTCACCACAGCCTCAAACTCCTGGGCTCAAGTGATCCTCCCACCTCAGCCTCCCAAGCAGCTGGGACTATAGGAATGTGCCATGATGCCCAGATAACTTTTTAATTTTTTGTAGAGATGAAGTCTTGCTATGTTGCCCAGGCTGGTCTTGAACCCCTGGCCTCAAGCAATTTTCCTACCTTGGCTTCCCAAAGTGCTGGGATTACAGGTGTGAACCACCACGCCCAGACTTTATTCTTTATTTCAATAAGACAGAGAGTCTCCAGAAAACACTAACCGTAAGATCATTAGGCCACTTAAAATATTTTAACAGTAATTCAATAATTCCTTAATATCATTGACCATTCAGTCACTGTTCATATTTCCAAGATTTTCTTATACATTAAGAAAAATTAGTTTTCTTTATTTGAATTGAGACCCAAAAGAGGTTCCCATATTTTAACTGGTGGATAAGTCCCTTAAGACCTCCCTATAGGTTCCTCCGTCAATGTTTTTTCTTGCATTTTTGTTTGCTTGTTTGTTATTATTGTTTTGAAGAAACTGGGTCACTTGTCCTATAGAGTTAACCACAGTATAGATTTTGCTGAATGCACCTGTATGGTTTGTTTACATGATTACAATTCCTCTGCCCTCTAGATTTTTTGTAAAATGGTAGTTATATTTAGAGGGCTGCCCAGATTCAAGCTTTAAAAAAACAAAAACAAAAACACAAAAACCTCTAATTTTTACAGCAGTTTTAGGCTCACTGCAAAATTGAACAGAAGGTACAGCAATTTCCTATATACTTCCTGCCTCAACACATGCATAGCCTCCCCCACGATCAATATTCCCCACCAGAGTGGTATTAAATACATTTGTTACAATTGATAACCCTATATTGACACATCATTATCACCCAGAGTCCATAGTTTACATTAGGGTTCACTTTTGGACTTTAGTCGTCCATTTCGTGGCTTCGGACGAATGTATGATAACATGTGTCTCTATTACAGTTCATACCGAGTAGTTTCACTGTCTTAAAAATCCTCTGTGCTCCACCTGTTCATGCCTCCCTCCCCACTAACTCCTGGCAGCCATTGGTCTTTTTGCTGTCTCCATAGTTTTGCCTTTTCCAGATGTCATATAGTTGGAATCATAAAGTATGTAGCTTAAGGTTAGCTTCTTTTCTTTCTTTTTTCTTTTTTTCTTTTTTTTTTTTTTTGAGATGGAATCTTGTTCTGTCACCCAGGCTGGGGTACAGTGGCACCATTTCGGTTCACTGCAACCTCTGCCCCCCACCCCCCGGGTTCAGGTGATTCTCCTGCCTCAGCCTCCCAAGTCCCAAGTAGATGGGATTACAGGCATGTGCCACCATGCCAGGCTAATTTTTGTATTTTTAGTAGAGACGGGGTTTCCCCATGTTGGCCAGGCAGGTCTCGAACTCCTGACCTCAGGTGACCTCCCCACCCACCTTGGCCTCCAAAGTGCTGGGATTACAGACATGAGCCACCACATCCAGGCTAGATTACTTTCTTTTACTTAATAATATGCATGTAAGTTCCTCCATGCCTTTTCATGCTTGTTAGCTCTTTTTTTTTTTTAAGCATTGAATAGCATTCCATTGTCCAGATGTATTAATACCACGGTTTGTCTTTTCACTTCCTGCAGGACATTTGTTTGTTTCTAGGTTTTGGCAATTATGAATAAAGCTGCTATAAACATCTGTATGCAAGTTTCTGTATGGACATAAGTTTTCAACTCCTTTGGAGAAATTTCAGAGATCATGACTGCTAGATTATATGGTAAGAGTATATTTACTTTTTTTGAAACTGCTAAAGTCTTTGGAAGTGGTTGTACCAGTTTGTATTCCCACCACCAATGTATGAGAGCTTCTGCTGCTCCATACCCTTGCCAGCATTTGGTGCAGTCAGTGTTCTGGATTTCGGCCATTCTAACAGACGTGTAATGGTATCCCATTGTTGATTTTATTTGCATTTCCCTGATGACATATGATGATATGATGTGGAGCATCTTTTCATATGCTTTGTCATCTGTGTATCTTCTTTGCTGAGGTGTCTGTTAAGGTCTTCGTCTATTTTTTAATCAGGTTTCTTTTTTTCTTTTTCTTTCTTTCTTTTTTTTTTGAGACGGAGTCTCACTCTTGTCGCCCAGGCTGGAGTGCAATGGCGCAATCTCGGCTCACTGCAACCTGTGCCTCCTGGGTTCAAGTGATTCTCCTGCCTCAGCCTCCTTAGTAGCTGGGATTACAGGCAGCCACCACCACACCTGACTAATCTTGTATTTTTCGTAGCGATGGGGTTTCACAGTGTTGGCCAAGCTGGTCTCGAACCCCTGACCTCAGGTGATCCGCCCACCTCAGCCTGCAAAGTGCTGGGATTACAGGTGTGAGCCACCGTGCCAGCCAGGTTTCTTTTTCTTATTGTTGAGTTTTAAGAGTTCTTTGTAAATTTTGAACACCAGTTCCTTAACAGATAACGTCTTTTGCAAATGTTTTTTTCTCAGTGTGTACCTTCCCTTCTCATTCTCATGACAGTGTCTTTCATGGAGCAGAAATGCTCAATTTTAATGAAGCCTACCTTATCAGTTCTTTCTTTCACGGATAGTCGCTTTGGTCTTGTATCTAAAGGTCATTGTGAAACCCAGGCATCTCCATTTTCTCCTATGTTATTCTAGGAGTTTCCCAGTTTTACATCTTATGTTTAGGTCTGTGGTCCACTGTGTTACTTCTTGTGGACGGTGTAAAGTGTGTATCTAGATTCACTTTTTTGTATGTGCATGTCCAGTTGAGTGTGTTTCCAGATTCACTTTGTTGTATGTGCATGTCCAGTTGAGTGTGTGTCCAGATTCACTTTGCTGTATGTGCAAATGGTAGTGACAGTCATCCAACTTTGTTTTTCTCTTTCAATACTGTATTGGCTATTCTGGGTCTTCTGCCTCTCCACATAAATTTTAGAATCAGTTTGTTGATTTACACAGAGTGACTTGCTGGGATTGACATTGTATGAAATCGACAGAGCAACTGGGAAGAACTGACATCTTGACAATAATTGAGTCTTTGTATCTATGAACATAGAATATCCTTCATTTATTTAGTTCTTTGATTTCTTTCATCAGCGTTTTGTAGCTTTTCTCGAATAAAGCTTGTCATCTTTTGGGTGTGCTGGTATAAATGGTATTGTGTTTTTAATTTCAAATTCCACTTGTTTATTGCTGGTGTATAGGAAAGTAATTGACTTTTATATATTAACCTTATATCCTGCAACCTTGCTATAATTGCTTATTAGATCCAACAGTATTTGGTTGATTCTTTTGGATTTTCTAGATAGCCAATCATGTCATCTGTGAACAAAGACAGTTTTACTTATTCCTTTCCAATCTGTATAGCTTTTATTTCCTTTTCTTGTCTTGTTGTATTAGCTAGGACTTTCAGTACAATGTTGAAAGGCATGGTGAGAGGAAACATCCTTGCCTTGCTCCTGATCTTAGTGGGAAAAAAGCTCTGAGTCTCTCACCAGTAAGTGTGACGTTCACTATAGGTTTCTTGTAGATATTCTTTATCAAGTTGAGGAAGTTCTCCTCTATTCCTAGTTCACTGAGCGTTTTTTTTTTTTTAACCATAAGTGGGCATTCAATTTTGTTAACTTGTTTTTCTGCATTTATTGAGATGACCATGTGATTTTTCTTCTTTAGTCTGTTGATGTGATAGGTTTTACATTACATTTATATTACATTTACATTAACTGATTTTTGAACGTTGACTCTGACTTGCATACCTTGGATAAATTACACTTGGTCATGGTGTATAATTTACACATTGTTGGATTTCATTTGATATTTTTTTGAGCACGTTTACATCTGTGTTTAAGAGAGATATTGGTCTGTAGTTTTCTTTTCTTGCAATATCTTTGTCTGGTTTTAGTATTAGGGTGACGCTGGCCTCATAGAATGAGTTAGGAAGTTTTCCCTCTGCTTCTATCTTCTGAAAGAGATTGTGAAGAATTGGTAAAATTTCCTTTTAAAATGCTTGTTAGAATTCACCGGTGAACTCACCTGGACTTGGTGCTTACTGTTTTGGAAGATTATTAATTGTGAATTCAATTATTCAATTTCTTTAACAGATATAGGCCTATTCTCGGCTCATTGCAATCTCTGCCTCCTGGGTGAAAGCAGTTCGCCTGCTTCAGCCTCCCGAGTTGCTGGGATTACAGGCACGTGCCACCACACATGGCTAATTTTTTTTGTTTTGTTTTTTAGTAGAGACAGGGTTTTGCCATGTTGCCCAGGCTGGTCTTGAACTCCCGAGCTCGGGCAATCTGCCAGCCTTGGCCTCCCAAAGTGCTAGGATTACAGGTGTGAGCCACTGTGCCTAGCCTTCAGATTGCCCTATTTCTTCTCACGTGAATTTTAGCAGATTGTGTCTTTCAAGGAATGTCTCTTTCATCTAGGTTATCAAATTTGTGAGTATAGAGTTGTTCATAGTATTCCTTCAAGTTTCTTTTAATGGCCATAAGATCTGCAGTGATGTTCCCTTTTTCATTTCTGATGTTAACAATTTATGTCCTCTCTCTTCTATTCTTAGTTTGCCTGTCTTTTATTTTCTTTATGCTTTCAAAGTATCGGCTTTTCAAACTTCAAAATCAGGTTTTCTTTATTTTGTCTGTTAATCTTCTGTTTTCAGTTGCATCTCGATTTCTGCTCTAATGTTTAATGTCTTTTCTTCTGCTTCCTTTGGATTTAATTTGCTCTTCTTTTTTTTAGTTTCTTATGGAGGAAGTTTAGATGATTGATTTTAGAGCTTTCTTCTTTTTAAATATTTGCATTCGATGCTGTAATTTGCCCCCTAAGCACTGTTTTGGTGCATCTGCGAATTTTGATAAGCTGTGCTTTCACTTGTATTTAGTTCAGAATATTTTAAAACTTCTTTTGAAATTTCTTCTCTGATTCACATGTTATTTAGAAGTGTGTTGTTTAATCTCCAAGTACTTGGGAATTTTCCAGCTATCTTTCTGTTATTGATTTCTAGTTTAATTCTATTGCGGTCCGATAGCAGACACTGTGTGATTTCTATTTGCTTAAATTTGTTAAGGTGTGCTTTATGTCCCAGAATCCTATCTTGGTGAACTTTTTTTGTTTTTGTTTTTTTATTTGTTTTTGTTTTTGTTTTTTTTTTTAGACAGAGTCTTGCTGTGTCACCCAGGCTGGAGTGCAATGGCGTGATCTTGGCTCACTGCAACCTCTGCCTCCTGGGTTCAAGCAGTTCTCCTGCCTCAAGCCTCCTGAGTAGCTGGGATTACAGGCATGTGCCACCATGCCAGGGTAATTTTTGTATTTTTAGTAGAGATGGGGTTTCACCACGTTGGCCAGGCTGGTCACGAACTCCTGACCTCAGGTGATTTTTCCATGTGACCTTGAGAAGAATGTGTATTCTGCTGTTGTTGGATGAAGTAGTCTATAGATGTCCATTATATCCAATTGATTGATCAAGTCATTGACTTCAATTATATTGTTACTTATATTCTGCCTCCTGGGTCTGTCCACTTTTGATAAAAGGGTATTGAAGTCTCCAGCCAAAATAGTGGATTCATCTACTTCTCCTTGCAGTTCTGTTGCTTTTTGCCTCACCTATTTTGATGCTCTGTTAGGAGCATAAATTAAGGACTGTTATTTCTTCTTGGAGAATTGATCTCTTTATTATTGTATATTGCCCTCTTTGTCCATGATAACTTTCCTTGCTCTGAAGTCTATTCTTTCCAAAACTAATATATCCTTGTTTTCCTAATTACTGTTACTGTGTTATATCTTTCTCTATACATTTACTTTAAATCTATCTGGATTCTTATATTTAAAGTTTGTTTCTTGTAGACAACATGTAATCAGGTCTTGTTTTTCAATTCACTTTAACAATCTCTGTCCTTTAGTGGGTGCATTTAGGCTGGGCACAGTGGCTCACACCTATAATCCCAGCACTTTGGGAAGCTAAGGCAGGAGGAACACTTGCATCTAGGGGTTTGAGACCAGCCTGGGAACCACAGTGAGACTCCCATCTCTATGAAAAATAAAAAATTAGCCCTGCATAGTGGTGCGCACTGTAGTCCCAAGTACTCCGGAGGCGGAAGTGGGAGGATTGCTTAAGCTTTGGGGGTCAAGGCTGCAGTGAGCCTTGATTGTGTCACTGCACTCCAGCCTGGGTGACAGAGTGAGACCCTGTCTCAAAATAATAATAAAATAATGATAATAATAATTATTTTTAAAATGGGTGCATTTAGGCCATTGATATTCAAAGTGATTATTGATGTAGCTGAATGAATATTACCATATTTATTGTTGTTTTCTATAAGTTGCCCTGGTTCTTTGTTCTTATTTTGTCTTCTACTCTTTTTCTTCCTTTTGTGTTTTAATTGAACATTTTATTATTCCATTTCCTCTTCTTTCTAAGCATATCAGTTTTTTTTAATTTTTTTTTTTTTTTAGAAGTTGCCCTAGAGTTTGCAATATACATTTACAACTCATCCAAGTCCACTTCAAATAACACTATACCAGCTGGGTGCAGTGGCTTATGCCTGGTCTCCCGGTGCTTTGGGAGGCCAAGGTAGGAGAATCACTTGAGTCCAGGAGTGAGCCACGATGGCGCCACTGCACTCTGGCCTGAGTGTGACCCCATCTCAAATAAAACAAAAAATCTAAAACACACACACACAAACAAACCCCAAACAACACTATATCGCTTATGGATAGTACAAGTAACCTAAGATAACAAAATAATTTTAATTCCTCCCTTCCATCCCTGGTATCATTGCTGTCATTCACTTCACTTATACGTAAGCATATACAATTAAGTACATTGATGCTATCATTATCTTGAACAGACTGATATCTATCAGATCAATTAAGAATGAGAAAAATAAGGCCAGGCACGGTGGTTCATGCCTGTAAACACAGCACTTTGGGAGGCCGAGGCAGGTGGATCACCTGAGGTCAGGAGTTCAAAACCAGCCTGGCCAACATGGTGAAACCCCAACTCTAATAAAAATATAAAAATTAGCTGGGCATGATGGTGTGCCCCTGTAATCCCAGCTACTCGGGCTGAGGTAGGAGAATTGCGTGAACCTGGGAGGCAGAGGCTGCAGTGGGCAGAGATCACACTACTGCATTCCAGCCTGGGCAACAAAGTGAGACTCCATTTCAAAAAAAAAAAAAAAAAAAAAACAAAACAAATAAGAAAAATAAAGGTTTTTATTTTACCTTCACTTGTTCCTTCTCTGATGCTCTTCCTTTCTTTATGTTGATCCCAGTTTTTGATTTGTATAATTTTTCTTCTTTCTAAATAACTTCTTTTAACATGTCTTGCAAGGCAGTTGTATTGGAAAAAGAATTTTCTCAATTTTTGTTTTTCTGAGGAAGTCTTTACTTCTTCATGTTTGAAGGATAATTTTGCAGGGTACAGAATTCTAGGTTGGTGGTTGTTTTCTCTCAACACCTTAAGTATTTTAGTCCATTCTCTTCCTGTTTGCTTTGTTTCTGAAGAGAAGTCAGACATAATTCTTACCTTTGCTCTTCTGTAGGATAAGATGTTTCTTCCCTCTGGCTTCTTTCAAGATTTTCTTTACTGTTGATTTTCTACAGTTTGAACATGATATGCCTGGGTGTATTTTTGGGGCATTTATCCTGCTTTGTGTTCTCTGAGCTTCTGGAATCTGTGGTTTGGTATCTGATCTTAATTGAGGGAAATTCTCAATCATTATTCTTTCAAATATTTCTTCTTTTCCTTTCTCTCATTCTTCTCCTTTTTATATTCCCATTTACACCGTTTGTAGTTGTCCTGCAGTTCTTGGATGGTCTGTTCTACTTATTTCAGTCCTTTTTCTGTTTTCTTTTCAGTTTTGAAGGTTTCTATTGAAATACACCCAAGCTCAGAGATTATTTTCTTAGCCATATCCAGTCTACTAATAAGCTCATTGAAGGCATTCTTCTTTTCTGTCACAGTGTTTTTTATCTCTAGCGTTTCTTTTTCTTTTTAGTTCTTAGAATTTCCATCTCTCTGCTTACATTGCCCATCTGTTCTTGCATGCCGCTTACTTTATCCATTAGAGCCCTTAGCATACTAGTCATAGCTGTTTTACATTCCCGGTCTGATCATTTCAACATCCATGTCATACCCGAATCTGGCTTTAATGTTTGCTCTGTCTGTTTGGACTTTGTTGTTTTGTCTTTAGTATGCCTTGTAACTTTTTCTTCAAAGCCTGGCATGGTGTCTTGGGTAAAAGGAACTGTTGTAAATGGGCCTTTGGTGATGTGGTGGTAAGGCATTAGGCAATGGGAAAGTGTTCCACAGTCCTATGATTTGGTCTGAATCCCTTAGGGAGCCTGTGCCTCTGGACTGTGAATGTCACACCTGCTTCTCGGTACCCTCTCCTCTCCTGTGGGTGGGACAGGAAGATTTGAGGGGGATCCAGTTTGGTGTTTCCTTTCCTCCAGGTCAGTTAGGTACTGATAAAGCCCCAGTAGTTTAGGCACTGGTAAAATAGTTTCTCTTGAGGGCAGACCTTGTTAAGAAGAACAGAATGTTTTGGTGTATTCCAAAATGGCTCCTTTCCCCCTCCCTGTACTGGAAACATGAGGGATTTTTCTCCAATATTCAATGGGAGCACCAGGTCAAGCTCTTGGGGGTAAAACACACAAACGTGTAGGAGTCTCCCATCCCCATGACTAGGTCTTAGAGTTTTTCACTCTTAGAGTTATCCACACTGAGCCTCCAGTAATTAGTCAATTACAGTGTAGGTTTTCCTACCCTGGCCCTGGTTCCCACAGTTTGTGCTCTGGTCTGTTGTGATTCTCTGTATTCACCTGCCTGTCTCTTCAATTTGGGAGCAGTGATTTGCCCTGTAACCTCTCTTCTCTTATGGATCTAAGAAGAGCTGTTGCTTTTTCAGTTTGTTCAGACTTTATTTATTTATTTATTTGAGACAGAGTCTGGCTCTATCACCCAGGCTGGAGTGCAGTGGCGTGATCTCGGCTCACTGCAACTTCTACCTCCCAGGCTTAAGCAATCCTCCCACCTCAGCCTCGGGAGTAGCTGGGCCCACTGGCATGCGCCATCATGCCTGAGTAATTTTTGTATTTTTTGTAGAGACAAGGATTTGCCGTGTTGCCCAGACTGGTCTCAAACTCCTGGGCTCAAGTGATCTGCCTGCCCTGGCCTCCCAAAGTGCTGGGATTACAGGAGCGAACCAGTGTGCCTGGCCCAGCTTTTTACTTTTTGTTAGGATAGTGTGGCGACTTCCAAGCTTCTTATTTGCTGGGATGGAAACTGGAAGTCCTCTTCTGGCAGCTTCTTCTCCTTCAACAAGAACACTTCATAGGTGCTGTCCTTTTCCTCCATCCAGCCTCCCAAATATCAGTCTCTCTTCTTCCTAGCATCTAGAATGCCACCTGGAAAGAATGTGTGCTGGGACTAGGGACACCTGGGGTCTATCTGATGGGCAAGGCTAAAAGGGAAGTGGCTCAAGATGGCATCTAGAGAACTCAGTCTTTACCTGTACCTGCTATTTAGTGAGGAAGTCATCACTTCATAGTAATATGAATCATAACCATGACTTCTGGAGTGTTTACAATATGCCAGCCACTGTTTTAATTGCTTTTAATGTAAAAACTAATTTATTCTTCTCAACAACCCCATGTGGTTGGTACTAATATTATTACCATTTAGAAATGAGGAACCAAGCCCAGAAAGATGAGATGATTTGTCTAAAATGTCACCCCTGTGCTTGCCAGAGAGGACAGTCCTATCTTGGAGAGTCCTTGACTTAGGGGCTCTTTGGCTTCTATCATCAACACACTTTGAAATGCTGCATTCTCACCCTGACTGACCTCTTGTGATCTCAAAATAGTGCATCAACTACAAATTCCTCTCTTATCTTGGAGGGGGTTTGCCTGCTAGTGCAGTCACTCACATCCAGACTTCTTGTCTCAAGGTTCCCTATAGACGTAAGAATTATGTCTTCTCATCAGGCAGTACTTTCCAAGCTAGATTCAGGCAAAATGGCCCATCTGCCTAGGGCTCTTTGGCCTTCCGGAAATGACAGCTCCTTACCTTTCTTTCAGTGCTAGAGGAACACAGTAATATGGTCCTATAAAGGCAATCTGTTAGATACTGTTTAGTTTCACCACTTTACAAAATATCTACTCCGGTCCACCACCACCCGCATTCCTGAAAAAAAAAAAAAACAAAAAAAACAAAAAACCAGTTCCCCTCCTACAGGTTTTAGAGTTGGAGCTGTTCCTACCTAGCCCTGGGGAACTGGGGTAATGATCTTTGAACCTTCCAGGGATGTCACTTTTCTAAGATTCCTCCTTGGAAAAAGAGAACTAGTAATAAATTATGTAAAGACTTCAGGAACTAAACCTCAAAGTTCTTTTGGGAGCCAAACCTCTCTGCTCCCAAATCGTGGAGCAGGAGGACCGTGGGGCAGGGCATGGAGAGTGGCAACAGAAGCTGTGAGCAGGACCAGCGACTGATATGCCTAGGGCCTAGGACAAAATGGAAATGTGGGGCCCCTTATTAAAAAATGATCAAGAACTTCAAGATAACATCAACATGGCATTAAACCAAATACGGAGCCCTTCTAAATGTGGGCCTTGTGTGAACACAGGTGATGTGCACGTGAAGTCAGCTCTGGCAATAGGGGCCCTCCTGGCACTTTGGGATGCATCTGAAACACTTGCATAAATGATATAATGTTTGTCAAATAAGACCGAGCTTGACTGGATGGTATATGAGGTCACTTTTCTTTTTCTTTCTTTCTTTTTTTTTTTGAGACTGAGTTTTGCTCTTGTCGCCCAGGCTGGAGTGCAATGGCGCGATCTCAGCTCACTGCAACCTCTACCTCCCAAGTTCAAGCGATTCTCCTGCCTCAGCCTCCCAAGTAGCTGGGATTACAGGCATCCAACACCATGCCCAGCTAATTATTGTATTTTTAATAGAGACGGGGTTTCACCATGTTGGCCAGGCTGGTATCGAACTCCTGACCTCAGGTGATCCACCCGCCTCGGCCTCCCAAAGTGTTGGGATTATAGGTGTGAGCCACGGTGCCCAGCCATAAGAGGCCACTTTTCATTGTGGCTCAGATAACTCTGAACTGTGGCATATTCCAGACAGAGGTATAATAGGACTAAGCACTGAATGTCCTAGGGGAAAGTCTCCAGGTTTTTGAAGACCACATCATGGCAATAATGGCCTAGCACAGCAATTCCTGCCTCACGGCGAGGAAGAGGAGGTTGGGGGGCAAACAGAGTATGAAAAAGTACATTTATTAATTTAGTCACAAAAACCATGGAAAGTAAAGCCCCTAAAAGTCTTCTTGACATTCGGATGCAGAAAAGGTAGGGTGAGAAAGCATTGTGCAGGGTTGGCTTAGAGAAGGCTGAGGAACATGAGAAACAGTGCCTTAACTTTTTATGTTTACTTTTTTAAAAGAACAGCAATGCAAGGAGAAACATTTGGGAGATGCTTATCAATGTAAGAAACATCTGGAAATGGGAAATAGCAGATGCGGATGATTTTGTTCTAAGGGAGGATTTTGCTCCTAAATTTCTCTAGGAGACCCCACACAGCAGAATGGAAGCTTCTGGTGGCCAGTCTTCCACTTCTCTTGCAGAGGAGACATTGGTCACCATGAAGACAGGCCATAAGCAAAAGCTGGGGGCAGAAATGTCTGGGGTTGTGTACCAGGCAGTTGTTTCCAGCTACCTCTGCAGGATCTCAAAGGACCTCCCTGAGATCACCAAGGGACAGAAATCCATATTGCACACCTCCACAGGGCACCATTCACATTTCAGTCTGCTGGGGAGTGGTGCTCCAGGGTGCCTTTCCCATGGGGTACAATGGGGGTTGCATAGTGTGACTCAGCATTTTTCCTCTCTGTGTTTTATAGGTGGCTCTGAAATTCTATAAAATAATGGCTTTTCCACAGGTGGTCCTGGCACCTCCACTGGACCTTAGTGGGGTACTCTCTGCTCTATTGTCTCATCTTCCTGCTATGGCTGGGTACAGGCTGGTAAGAGAAGGGATGAGCATGTCATTCTGCGTTCTTTTCCCTTTTCTGCTAACCCATGAAGCACTCCAGTGAATCGCCATGAGCAGATGAGACCAACTTAGAACAAAATCCCTCCACTGCAGAGAGTGAAGCTAGGTCTTCCTGAAAAATTATTTAATATAGTTGTAATGCTCATTTAATCCTTAAATCTGGCTAATTTTTTAGAACCTTCCATTTACAAGATTACATTTACAACCTTCTCTCAGTGCCTCGATTTTCTGATGTGTAAGATGGGGTGTAATATAATGGGTTATTGAGAGAATTATATGAGTTAATATAAGAAAAGTCCTTCTGTCAAGTAATAAGTGTTATTACTAAATGAGAAATGTGATAAATAAATAAGCACGTACAATGATGGTTTTTTTCTTTTTTTCTTTTTCTTTCTTTTAAATGAGTTGAGGTCTTGCTATGTTTCCCAGGCTGGTCTCAAACTCCGGGGCTCAAGTGATCCTCCCACCTCAGCCTCCAAGGGATTACTGGGATTACAGGTATGAGCCACCACACCTGGCCTACAATTATTGTGAAATCAAAAAGTTCACTTGTAATACTGGTTTTGTAGTAGCGCTGGCACCTTCCACAGGACAATGTTTTGGCCTGTGGATGAAATGTTGAGTATTACTATCTAAAAGCAGGCTCCTGACTGACTCAAAAGTCATCATGCCTTGTATCCAGATGAGCAGATTCTTTCCTGCCTTCAAAGAAAAATGAGAAGAAAAGAACTGATTTCTTCTGTGGAGTTGGACGCTTTCCAGAACTTTACGGCTATGCTTTAAATTGATGAATGGCTGACTGCCGGTGGAGACCCTGACAGGCTGGGACTGCTGGGATGTTAAAATAAAATGATAGAAAATGAAGACAATTCAGCTTGAGTTTCCACAGGGCCATTTGATCCCACCAGAATCCTTTCCAGAGCAAACGAGGCCAGAGAGAGCCAACACCTGTAACAACATCGCTGGTGTCCCTGCCCAAAGGGTGACCACTGGAGACAGAAGGGAAATAAACAGTCCGTGGGGCAGACAAAGGAAAGACACAGGCCTGGGGACCCAGCTGCCTCATGCCACCTTTGAAATGACAATAGGGATTTTAAAAAACTACTGCAATTTAAAACAGGAAAAGAAGACTCTCCCTATCTGTAAGGTGATGCCTCGGCGGGGGCGGGGGCCAGTCTCTTCGGGACTCATCTGTGTTGCAGCCGGGACACCCTCTAGGGCCTTGGGCCTGAGTTCTCTCGGGACCCTGCCCTTCAGGTGGCTGCGCCAGAGAGCAGCAGCCTCCACACTGAGGGAGGTGGACTCATCTTCATAACACCAGACGCTGAAAATCTGACACTTTATCCGTAGCAGGTAAACAACCCAGAAAGATTATTTTAAATAACAAAATAAAATAAAAAGAATACACTTTGGGAGGCTGAGGCAGGCGAATCACCTGAGGTCAGGAGTTCGAGACCAGCCTAGCCAACATGGCGAAACCCTGTCTCTACAAAAATACAAAAAAAAATTAGCCAGGAGTGGTGATAGACGCCTGTCATCCCACCTCTTGGGAGGCTGAGGCAGGAGAATTGCTTGAACCTGGGAGGCGGAGTTTGCAGTGAGCTGAGATCATGCCACTGCCCCTCCAGCCTGGGTGACAGAGCGAGACTCTGTCTCAAAAAAATAACAATAATAAAAATAATCATGTTGGAAGAAAGTTTAGAAAATATAGAAAAGTAGAAAAAAGAAGAAATTATTCATGTCTCACTCCCTATAGCCAACATTGGTTAAAAGTTTGGTATGCTTTCTTCCAGACTTAAACAAAAACACCCAGACAGACATGCTTTAAAAAAGAGTCGTGACTGGTGGGCGCGGTGGCTCACGCCTGTAATCCCAGCACTTTAGGAGGCTGAGGAGGGCAGATCACGGGGTCAGGAGATGGAGATCATCCTGGCTAACATGGTGAAACCCCGTCTCTACTAAAAATACAAAAAATTAGCTGGGTGTGGTGGTGGGCACCTGTAGTCCCAGCTACTTGGGAGGCTGAGGCAGGAGAATGGTGTGAACCCAGGAGACGGAGCTTGCAGTGAGCCGAGATCACGCCACTGCACTCCAGCCTGGGCCACAGAGCGAGACTCCATCTCAAAAAAAAAAAAAAAATCGTCGTGACTATATCTTACTTAATATTATTTTATAATCCTTCTACATGGTATGATGAAATTTTATAGATACAGTTGAATGGCTGTGTAATTAACAAATAAATTCATTATTAGTTAATATTCTTTTTAATAAAAGGATATTTTGACTACTTTATTTTTTACTAGTATAAATAATGCTACAATGAGCACTTCTTAAATAATTGCTTTTTGAGATATAATTCAGGTATCATAAAATTTACTTTTTAAAGTGTACGATGCTGTAGACTTCAGCATATTCACAGTTATACAACTATCATCACTATCTCATTCCAGAACATTTCTGTCACCCTAGAAAGAAATTCCATACCCATTCCTCCCTCTGCAGCCCCTGACAACAACTAATCTATTTTCTATTTCTATGGATTTGTCTATTCTGAACATTTCATGTAAATGGAACCACAAAATAGGTGACCCTTTGTGTCTGGCCTCTTTCTCTTATCATAGTATTTTCAAAGTTCATTTATGTTATCACAGGTATCAGTTCTTGATTCCTTTTTATGGCCAAATAATATTGCATTGTGTAGATGTATCACTTTTGTTTATCCATTCACCAATTAATGGACATTTAAAGCTTCTCTTCCACCTTTTGGCTATTATAAACATTGCTGCTCTGAACATTCATGTACAAGTTTTGTTTTTGTTTTTTTTTTTTTTTTTTGAGACAAGGTCTCACTCTGTCACCTAGGCTGAAGTACAGTGGCGTGATCTTGGTTCACTGCAACTTCCGCCTCCCCGGTTCAAGCAATTCTCCTATCTCAGCCTCCCAAGTAACTGGGATTATAGGCGTGTGCCACCATGCCTGGCTAATTTTTGTATTTTTAGTAGAGACAGGGTTTCTTCAGTTGGCCAGGCTGGTCTCGAACTCCTGACCTCAAGTGATCCACCCGCCTCGGCCTCCCAAAGTGCTGGGGTTACAGGCATGAGCCACCGCGCCCAGCCCATGTAGAAGTTTTGTGTGGACATGTTTTCACCAACCTTGAGGATAAACCTAAGAGTGGAACTGCCAGCCATATGGTGACTCTGGGTTTAGCCTTCTGAGGAACTGCCCCTCTGTTTTCCAAAGCGGCTGCACCATTTTACATTTCCACCGGCACTGTGCAAGCTTTCCAATATTTTCACAACACTTGCTACTTTCCTTTTTAATTTTTCAACATCCATCATAGTGGGTGTGAAGTGGTATCTCATTGTGGCTTTTATTTTCATTTTCCTGGTGACTAGTATGTTTAGCATCTTCTCACGTGCTTCTTGGATGTTTGTGTATTTATCTTCTTTGGAGAAATGTTTATTCAAATTCTTTGCACAGTTTAAAATTGTGTTATTTTTCTTTTTATTCTTAAGTTACAAGAATTCTGTTTATATTCTGGATAAAAATCCCCTATCAGAAATATGGAGAAAATGCAAGCATTTTCTTCCATTCTGTGGGTTGTCTTCTTACTTTCTTTATGGTGTCTTTTGATGCACAAAAGTTTTAAATTTTGATGAGGTCCGATTTATCTATTTTTTCTTTAGTTGCTTGAGCTTTTGGTATCCTATCTAAAAAATCTATTGTCTAGACCATGGTCAAGAAGATCTACACCTTTGCTTTCTTCTAAAAGTTTGATAGTTTTTGTTTTTATATTTAGATCAGAGTCTGTGTCACATGGAAACATCTAGGATAGGGAGACTTTGCTGACTTAAATGGTATGAACATTTTGATATAGTCCAATTGCTTTCCAAAGTGGTTGCACCAATTTGCATGCTTATTAGCAAATGAGAGAGCCCATTTCATTGTATACCGTAAAGCTTTTTTAAGTTTCCTATTAATCTTGTTAGACTAGATATGACCAAATTCATGCTATGGATCCCCCAACTTTACCTTTCATTCTTTTCTGACCAAAGTTTCTTAGGCATTAAGGTATTCAGCGATGAGTAGATATTTCTTGTGTCATCATAACTGATGTAACTGACTAAAATTGAGATAGCCATAGAATGATTTAACTCGTTGAAAATAAACATCTACTGAGCATCTGTAGAGGGTGGGGGGAAGGGTGGAGGGGAGGGAAAGAGGGGATGGGGGTGCAAAGATGAATGAGACACAACCCTTAGTACGGAGAAAACTTACATTTGTAAGGAGCACTTTCACAGCTGTGTGCCTGGGGATCCTCTCAAACAGCCCTGGTGTTACGTAGACAAGATGCCATGCCTGTTGTAATGGTGAAGAAATTGGCTCAGAGGTCAAATGAACTGTGCAAAGTCACATGGCTAATGAGGGAAAAGAGTCAGTCAACCAGTATTTACTGAGGACCCCCTGTGTGCCATGCATGCGTCTAGAGATACAGTGATGAAAAAGGGGCCTCCATTCTGGTTGAGAAGAGACAGGCACAAACAGTCAAGAAATAGATAAAGAAGAATTGCATGAGGTGGGTGGAGGGATACGGTTTTGCCTAGTGTATTAGTTAGGGTTCTCCAGAGAAACAGAGCTAACAGTGCATGTATAGATAGAGAGAGAGAAAGATTTATTATAAGGCATTGGTTCATACAATTAAGGCGGCCAAGAAGTCCCACAAAGCCAGCAAGCTGGAGGGAGACAGTGTAGTTCCAATCTGAGCCTGAAGTCCTGAGAACTAGGAGAGCCAGTGGTGTAAGTTGGAGTCCAAAAGCCAGCAGGCTTAAGACCCTGGAGGAGCAGATGATTCTGCTGGAGTCTGAAAGTAGAAAAAGACTGATGTCTCAGCTCAAGGAAGCCAGGCAGAAGAAAATTCTTTCTTAAGGGAAGTCAACCTTTTTGTTCTATGCAGGCCTTCAGTTGATTGGATGAAAGCCACTCACATTAGGAAGACCAATCTGTTTTACTCAGTCTATCAATTCAAATTTTAATCTCATCCAAAACACCCTCCCAGACACACCCAGAAAATGTTTGACCAAATATCTGGGCACCCCATGGCCCAGTGAAATTGACATATACAATTAATATCACACCTAGGATTGGTGAAGGCTTCACTGAAATAGTGACATTTGAACAAAGAAATATGAATATTTGGGGAAGAGCTTTCTAGGTAGAGGGAATAGAAAGTTCTGAGGTGAGAACAAACCTGAATACTTTAGGAACAGCAAAAAGACCAGTATGTTTGGAAGAAAATAGCAAGGAGAGGATCAGAAAAGGAGGAAGTTGGCAGGGCTGGATTGCATGAGGTTTGTAGACCATGATTAGAAGTTTGCACTTCGGCCGGGCATGGTGGCTCACACCTGTAATCCCAGCACTTTGGGAGGCTGAAGCAGACAGATTGCTTGAGGTCAGGAGTTCGTGACAAGCCTGGCCAACATGGTGAAACCCCGTCTCTACTAAAAATACAAAATTAACCAGGCGTGGTGGCATGTGCCTGTCATCCCAGCTACTCAGAAGGCTGAGGCAGGAGAATTGCTTGAACCCGGGAGGTGGAGGTGGCAGTGAGCCAAGATTGTGCCACTGCACTCCAGACTGGGCAACAGAGGGAGACGCTGTCTCAAAGGAAAAAAAAAAAAAGAAGTTTGCACTTCATTCTAAGTAAAGTGGAATGGCTTTGGAGGTATATCAGAAAGATCAAGGTGATTAAAATGAAAAGAGCACATCATGTATGTGGACAGGGAGACCAGCTACAAGGTCAAGATCATGGTACCTGGAAGTAGGGTTGGGGCTCTAAAGGTGATGAGGGTCAGAGGTTGGACACATTTTGGAAGCAGGACTTGTAGAATTTGCCAGTGAATTCAAAGTGGGATGTGAGATTTATGGCAAATCAGATATTACTCCTAGATTTTGGTCTGAGTAACTAGGTGGATGTTGGTGCTACATTTTTCAAGATGGAGAATTTTTGCTGGGGCTTTGGAATGAGAAATGGAGTTTTGGAGAAAATCAGAAGTTATCTTTTGGCCTTGTTAATTTTGGGTTTGTTACCTCTGACTAGAACCCAGGCTTTCTGTCTTAGTCTGTTGGGGCTGCTGTAACAAAATACCATGGACTGGGTGGCTTATAAACAACAGAAGTTTATCACAGTTCTGGAGGCTGCGAAGTCCAACATCGAGGCACTGGCAGATCAAGTGTCTGGTGAGGATCCACTTCCTTATAGACAGGTTTCTTTTTGCCGTAACCTCACGTGGTAGAAGGGGTGAAGGAGCTCTCTCAGGCTTCTTTTATAGGAGCAGGAATCCCATTCATGAGGGTGCCACCCCTCATGACCTAAGCGCCCAGCAGAGGCCCCACCTCCTAACACCATTGCTTTGGGAGTTAGGATTTCAACATATGAATTGGGGTGGGGGGTCATAACCATCCAACCCATTGCATATTCTGACCAGAACAGGTGTTTTTCCTACAAAGATACACTATTTATTCTTTCAAAATATATTTATTGAGCCCCTACTATGTGCAGAGCTTGGTCTTAGATGCTGAGAAAACAGCACAGAACACAGCAGGGGCATTATCGCTAACGGTGCCCCACAGAACCAGCAACTCCGTGTTGAGGCTCTGCTATGTACTGGGCATTGTGCAGAATACAAAATGAGTCAGACACATTCCCGGTGCTCCAGATGCTTTCAACTTAATTGGACAGTTTAGGCAGAGAGACAAGTAACAATTGATAGCCATGAATGAGTTCACAATACACTTATTGAGTGCACGCTATATTCCAGGCACTGGGCTAAACATGCTACATGCTGAGACTACAAAGATGAGTTAGAATACATTCCTGTCTCTCAAAAGCTCACCTTCACGTGGAGGAGAGACTTAGGCAAGCCCATGATTTCAGTTCCATGTGGTCGAGGTAGGACAGTGTGGAAACACACGTACGATGCTTAGCCGAGGCTACTGTCTGGCATTAGGGGAGACTACCCAGAAGAGGTCACACCTCAGCTGTGTCTTGCAGGATGAGGCAGACCAGAAGAAGATTGATGGCATTCCTCGCTAAGGGGACAGCTGCGAACAGGACAGTTAGGGGTTTGGGGACAGGGAGCAGAACTGAGGGGCTCAGGATTTACCCTGTAAGCGACAGGGTGCTGCTCCTGAGTGCTCAGCAGAGGGTGGGCTGTATGAATGGGTGGGCTTGTGTTGTATAGCTTCATATATGTGGATAACGGGCGGTTGAGGAGGAGGTATGGGGAGACTGGAGGTGGCAACGCCCGCTGGGAGGATGTGCCCGAGGATGACAGCTAAGAGAGAAAGATGGGAGCCTGAGATGAATGACTAGTGGGGTTCAGTGGGGCAAGTGAGAGCTCTACGATCCTGCTGACCTCAGCAAGCAGGGAAGGTTTCACTAGGGAGGAAGGGTGGAGAAGACTGGAAGGGAAATTGGAAGAAACTGGACCTAAAGTAGTTCAAGAGGTTGTCAGAGAAGGTTGAAGGAGGGGTGTGATCCATGACAATAACCAATAGACACTCCCCTCATTAGTCAACGATCCCTGATGTCATTTAATCCTCACAGCTGTGTTGTGGGCTAGGCACACACCCCATTTCAAAGGCAAGAAAATGAAGGGTCGGAGAGGTTGAGTACTGTGCCTATGGTCGCAATGCACAGTGGTGTGGGTTTTCAGGCCCTCACTTTGTTTTACTCCTTGTTGTCCGGTGATGTGGGTTAAAACTGAGGCAATGCCACCCCAGGGGCCACAGTCCCAGCCTTCTCACAGCCCAGCGGCCCCTCCCTCCAGGGACTGTGCGTTGCCCTCCCCCAAGGCTCCTCTCTTGCATTCCCTGAGTCCTGGCGGCGGGGCCTGGCAGCCGTCAAGCTCATCGCCTCTGAGATCAGAAAGGCTTGCAGGTAGATGCTGGGGGCTGTAAGTTGAGGAAACGCACACAGGAGCAGTTAAAGTGGCACAGGGTGCTGAGCCTGCCTTTAATGGTTTGCAGCTGCAGCAAGCACCAGCTTCCCCCGTGGGCTCTGCCCTGCTGCGGGGGCTGGCTGGCTGTATTTCGCATCCTGACCAATTAGATCCCCATGTGTGCTGCAGGCGTGAAAAAATAGAAAGTGAATAATCCTTCATTCGCCTCTGCATGGCGAGCAGCTTTGATCCTCTTGGTGAGGTGGCCCTGTTCCATCAGAAAGTTCATCTCTTCTCAGCTTCCTTATTTTTTTTAAACCCAGTTTCCTTGTCTCAAAATGACATTAACCTCCACCCAGAGACCTATGAAATGACCACGATTCATCTTCAGACCCTTCTGATCAAAGCTGGGTTGGATTTTTTTTCTCCCTCTCTCTTTTAAACTTCCGCTGCACAGTCCCTCCTTTCTAATATTGGTTCGGTGCCAATGTTTCCAGGCTGAAATCAAAAGGAATAGTCTATTAATATCAGGCTTCTGTAACAAGGCCACCATTGTTTGCTTCATTTCAGAGTACCTATGGTCTTCTGGTGAGAAAGAGAGAGAGATCAGGAGCCTGTGTGTGGAGCCCGTGTGTGTCTGTGTGTGTGTGCGCGTTTGCATGTGCATGGGTGTGTGTGGTTAGATAAGTAATTTCAAAATGAGCAAAAATAGAAGGAGTCGATCCTGGTTCATTTCAAATGTATGCTAAATCTCAGTGACTCTGGCTATAGATTAAAATACTGATCACCCGTTTTGTTTTGGAAGCATCAAGGTCCTAGAGGCATATTTGGTTAGAAGACCTATCTTAATGCTACAGATTAGGTGGTGGTGGAGCTGCTGCTGGAAGTGGTGTGGACGTACGGGCAGCGGAGGAGGAGTGGAGAGAGGAGCAGCTGGGGGTGTTGCTGGAGGAGGAAGCAGAGCCGGGGCAGTGGGGCTGGTATGGGTGTTTGTGCAGAGGAGGTGGAGGTAGGGGGGGTGGGGTGCTGGAGGGGAGGGGGTTAGTGGTGTTGGTGTGGAGGGCATGAAGAAGGTGGTGGAGGTGGCAGCGGCAGTGAAGGAGGAAGTAGAGGAGGCTTGGAGGGGCTGAGGGAGGTGGAGAAGGAGACAGTGGAGACAGGGGTTGAAGGGTGCTGGTGGTGGAGGTGTGGAGGAGATGGAGGAGGAAGTGGAGGGGGTGGTGGTGGCAGGAGAGGAGGAACTAGAGGAGGGGATGGAGAGGATGAGGGAGAAAAGAGTGGTGGGGGGAGATGCTGGGTGAAGTAGAGTTACTGAAAACAGAACACACTGCTGTCCATGTTTCCTTCACCCCGTCCCAGTGATCCCACAAGCTGGGAAGACTCAAAAGGTTATCCCGGAAATCGCAGGGCAGGTTTAGGGTGGTCACTCCCAGCCGAGGCCTCTTTGAGTAGCCCTTGTTGGAAGCAGCTCTGCCTGGATCAGAAGCGCATAGACATAGGTTTATGACACAAACTATGACAGTGTAACCCTTCTGGAAGTGGCGGGCGGGGTGGGAATCACCTGGGTCATCTGAACAGAATGTGTTGGGGATTTGTGAGTGAACTGCATGGTTCAGGGAGAAAAGTGAACTGGAAGTCCCCAGGGCCTGGGTGCCAGCCCTGCCTCTGCTGAACTGTGCAGACTTCTCTGCTTTATTTTCCAGTCTCCCATTGTGTGAAATGAGGTTGTTGAATTAGGAGTGCCAGCTCTAACAGACACTCTGTTTCTGCCTAAGAGAAATTATGTAACCATTAGAGCTTTGCTTGAGGTCGTTCCTGGACTTTTAAGGATAGAGACCAGCCTGGACAACAGGGTAATCATGGTCTGCCTGACTCTGGGCCACTAGAGTTGATTTTCCTTTCTCAAACACAGTTCTCCAGACCACAGATGAACCACCAAGGAGGGTGGAAGACGTGCGAGGGAAAACCTGAATGCTATTTTCCAGCATTAATTCTCATTCCCCAGAAAAGCAGAATCTGAAGGTGCCTTACAAACAAACAAGTAAATAAATTAATCAATAAAAGGGCATTCTTGGACAAACTCAGAGGGAAAGGGTCCCTTTTTCTTGGTTTTGTCTGCTTGAGGGCTGGTGCGGAACTGCTCTAAAGCTTTGTTAATGACCCACGGGTGATGGGTCTGGGTGGTCAGTGCTGCTGCAGAGAGACACGCGGGATATAGCAACCTTGGCAGCTTAGTGAAAGCGGCAAACACCCCTTCTGTGTCCTGCGGCCTCAGCTACCTAAGATCCACAGTGATTGCACTAGGTTGTCTGGAAGAGGGTACGGGATGCTCAGAAGCCTCTGTTCAAGAAGGAGGCAGCTCTTGTAATCCCAGCACTTTCGGAGGCCAAGGCGGGCAGATTACTTAAGGTCAGGAGTTTGAGACCCGCCTGACCAACATGGTGAAACCTCATTTCTACTAAAAATGCAAAAAAATTAGCCGGGCGTGGCGGCGTGTGCCTGTAATCTCAGCTACTTGGGAGGCTGAGGCAGGAGAACCGTTTGAACCTGGGAAGTGGAGGTTGCAGTGAGCTGAGATCGCGCCACTGCACTCTAGCCTGGGCAACAGAGCAAGACTCTGTCTCAAAAAAAAAAAAAAAAAAAAAAGGAGATGGAAGCAAATGTTGCATTTTTGGTTGTCCCCTCTTGTTGAAATGCTACTTTGCACTCTTTTGCCTGTTTGGATCCTTCTTGTCTCTCAGGTTGTAGTATTTATTTATTTATTTTTGAGACAGAGTTTCACCCTTTTGCCCAGGCTAGAGTGAAGTGGCACGATCCTGGCTCACTGCAACCTCTGCCCCCTGGGTTCAAGCAATTCTCCTGTGTCAGCCTCCTGAGTAACTGGGACTACAGATGCGTGACACCAAGCCTGGCTAATTTTTCTATTTTTAATAGAGACGGGGTTTTGCCATATTGGCCGGGCTGGTCTCGAACTCCTGACCTCAGGTGATCCACCCACTTTGGCCTCCCAAAGTGCTGGGATTACAGGTGTAAGCCACTGTGCCCGGGCTCAGGTTGTAGTTTAAATGTCCCCCCTTCAGAGACACCTTCTCAGACGATCAGACGGGAACACAGTCCTGCTGTCGCTTTCTTTCATTGCATACCACGCCGTCCCTGCCAGGTGCATGCGTCACAATTGGTAATCATATGTTTATTCGTCACCTGTGTGATGTTTGTCTCCACACCAGTCTATTTGACCCACGAAGACGGGTGCTACCAAGACGAGTCTATTTCTTCCGTTCCGCACGTTCCACTGAGTGCCCAGCACATAGCAGGATGAATGGATAAGTGAGGGTGGTTAGCACAAAGGAGTTTTTGTGCTTGAAGGGGAGAATGTGAGCCAGGTGGGAAACCTAAGTATATGGAAGGAAAAGAAGACCCAAGTCTAATCAGCTTTAAAAATAACGATGCTTACCTTAGCACCTCAAAATAAGCCTTGCACAAGGGCTTCCAGGACAGACATGGGGCTCCCCAGTGTCCTGAGTGGTCTAGGTACATCCCAGCCCTCTGCTCTGCCATCCTCCTAATCACACAAGGGGGCAGCTACAATTCCAGTGACACGGGCTGACCCAACCACACCCAGTGAGGAAGAGGAAATGTGCTCTTTTATTAGAGAGGAAAACATTTGCAGAAGACTCTTAGCAGGTTTCCACTCAGGCCAGCTCCCTTGGCCAAGATCGGGTTCTACTTCTATGCTCCAGCTTCAAAGAAGATTGACAACAGAGTACTGGCATTTCGATCCTCTGGGGTGGGAGATGGGCTTCACCAACAAGCAAGCAAGCAGGGGCAAGGCGAGGACAGTCTTGTGTATGGGGAACAACAGCTGTGTCCACTGCACCTCCTAGATTAGGCCCTGGAGACCCCATGGTTGGAGGCAGACTTACAGACAGCAGGAGGAAGAAAGACCATACCATTTTACCAATTAAAGAAAAAAGTCCAGATTGTAATCATTCCATGATTCATTGCTGTGAGTAATGGTAAACCTTCGACATTCAAACACGCTAAGGAATTCATTAGATGTCTGCTGTGAAATTAGCATCTGAGAGGTTAGACCTGGGCCAGCTTCCTGGAAGACCAAGTTAAAGAGGTCCCTGTGCTAATACAATGAGCGTCGCTCGTCCACTGCTGGGTGATGAGACTTGAGAAGAACCGGAGGCCTCTCCTTCTCATCCCTACGCCCAGCCTTGGCTGAAGTTCGAAATCCTCTTAGACTTCAGAAATTCCTCAGTTATTGTGTGTTCCTTGGGCTGCATATCTGGCCACTTACTTGGCATCTCCACTGGGCTAACAGACCTCTTGAGCTTCATGCATCCAAACCAACTCTTGGTGACCGCACCACCACAAATGTGCCGCTTTCCCAGTCTTCTCCATGTTAGTAAATGTGCCACAATCACCTACACTGAAGCCAAGATTGAAAACATCCTTGGCCGGGCACGGTGGCTCACGCCTGTAATCCCAGCACTTTGGGAGGCCCAGGCGGGTGGATCACCTGGGGGTTCAAGACCAGCCTGACCAACATGGAGAAACCCCGTCTGTACTAAAAATACAAAATTAGCCAGATGTGGTCGCACATTCCTGTAATCCCAGCTGCTCGGGAGGCTGAGGGAGAATCGCTTGAACCTGGGAGGCGGAGGTTGCGGTGAGCCGAGATCACCCCACTGCACTCCAGCCTGGGCAACAAGAGCGAAACTCTGACTCAAAACAAAAACAAAAACTAAACAAACAAACAAACAAACCAAAGAATGTCCTATCTGACTCCTCTCTGTCCTTCACAGCGCACATCCAGTCCATCAGCAAGACACGCCAGCTCCACCTCTCCAACACACCCCACAGGAGCCCCTTGCTGCTTCCCTGCTCCCCACCTAGTCCCGAACACTCTTCTCCGGGCTGGGCCACACCAGCAGCCTCTTGATTTGTCTGTCTGCTCTTGCATCCCCACTCCTAGGCCATTCTCTACATGGCAGCCAGCGTGGTTGTTTTGAAATGTGAGAAGATCACATCACTCCTCTACTTAGAAACCTCCAATAGCGGCTCCCTGATACCCATAGAATAAAATCCAGTCATCCTCACAGCCTGCAAAACCCTCTGTCATCTGCCCTTTGCCCACCTTACTGACCGTACAAGCCTCATGTGCTTTGCTCCAGCAGACTGGCCAGTTCCTCTGGGCCGTCTGCTGGAATATTGTCCCCAAGAACTCTGCAGGCTGGCATGTTCTTCCAATTCAAGCTCAGCTTACACGAGGCCTTCTCAGAGAAGTCCTCTCTAACTCCCGATCAAAAATAGCACTCCGGCCTCTAACTTCTTACCATATTTTATTTTCTTCCTGACACTGCATTATCTAAAACTAATTGATTTGCTGGTTTATCTTTATGATCTGTCTCTGGCAACAGAATATGTGTGGCACAAGGGGCTTATTTTGCTTGTTGTTTTACCCTGGGCACTAAAACAGTGTCCACATCTGTGAGTGCTCAGTGAACATCGGCTGAACAGGATGAATCTTAAAGCCTTCAACTATCATGTTAAAAGACGAAACTCTTTAGAATAAGAGAGAAAGCAATCATCTTTTCTTGGGCATTGGAAATACTGAGACACTAGGGGACAGAAGGCACCAAAAATTTAGATAAGAGGGGCTTGTGACAATATTGAAACAGGTGAGCTTGAGAGGATCAAGGAAGGACAAGGGTACTTGTATGGACAGGTGGGAATTTGGTCTTGGTCTGTCTATGATGAATTTGGACACTTAGAATGACAGAGTCAGAAGAAGAAAGTCACTCAAAGATCTGTCTGGAGTCCTTGGCTTTTAGCATGGGCTTGACCACCAACTCTCTCTGGAATCTCAGGCAAGTTGTTTAGCCTCACTAAGCTTGGGCTTCTCAGGGCACTGGGCTGTGTGATCGCTGAGATTTTGCCAACTGTGATTGTTCCATGCTCATTCGCCCATGGTTCATTCAGTTACTCAGAAAGTATAACGTGAGCACTGTGCTCCTGAAATTGTGCTACGTGCTAGGCATGCAGCAGAGGACAAGGCTTCTTAGTCCCTCTCTTCATGGAGCTTCTAACACAGGAGACGAATAGCAAGTAATTACGCAGATAAACACGTCAGTTCAAATGGTGATGGGAAGGGGAAGTGAAAGGTGCAATGAGAGTGTAGAAAGGGGTGTCTTATGGGGATTGGAGGGTCAGATAAGCCTGTTCTTAAAAAAATGATATTTTCTTCTGTTTACAAATGTTCAAGCTTTGGGGGAAGGGAATAAGGTAGCTTTGGAGAGAGTTTCTGGCTGGGGCTCTGGCAGCCGGCTGTGCATTTGAGCAATGCTTCCCCGCCCCGCACAGTGACAGATTCCAAGGCTCCTTGTACATGATGTGGTGGGCCCTCCTGGAGTCAGGCGGGGAGCCCAGCAGGTTATTCCTCGGCCAGGGGTGGGGTGGGGAGGAGAAGTTTTTGATAGTGTGAAGAACCATTTTCTTCTGTGTAGCAGGTGAAGGTGAAACTGGGCGTTATCAACTTTTTATGCCAATTCCCTGACCTCACCCAGCCAAACTCCTATCAGTAGGCTGAGCACATAGAAGGGAGGAGTTGGGGGACCGCCTACTTACCTATTTTGTAATGCATAGAAATCTTAGTACATAAATTTATTTGTGTGAGAAATACCACTTTCTTTTGTTTAAAATGATCTTAAATCCTTCGTTATGCTCCCATCCTTCCAGGTGAAGGAAATTAGATTCCAGCCACGACTGAGGTCCTCTCCTCTGCTTCCCACACCGGGTCCCAGGGGAGGCTGAGAGCCCCTGGCCCTCCTACATGTGGCCTTCCTAAGGCACCATGGAGCTGTGCCTTGCGGGTCCTGCCACCTCCACCAACAAAACTCCAGGGCCCCCCTCCTAGGCTGGGAGAAATTTCTCATTACTCTTCGGTCCTGGGCTACTTTAAAAGGTCCATCTAAGACACTCAGCATCATCTCTGCATTTTGGTGTCTACAAAATACAGCAAGAGATTTAATTTTCAGGTAGCATTTTGCTTACTGTCCTACAGAAACCCCTGAGGCAGGACTGTCTAACTCTGTGGAGAGCTTGTGAAAATTCAGGAAAAACACACACAAGTCAGTACTTATTAAAAAATTATGGCTGGGCATGGTGGCTCATGTCTGTAATCCCAGCACTGTGGGAGGCCAAGGCAGGTGGATCACCTGAGGTCAGGAGTTTGAGACCAGCCTGGCCAACATGGTGAAACCCCGTCTCTACTAAATATACAAAAATTAGCTGGGCATGGTGGCACACACCTGTAATCCCAGCTACTCAGGAGGCTGAGGCAGGAGAATCGCTCAAACTTGGGAGGCGGAGGTTGCAGTGAGCCGAGATCACACCATTGCACCCCAGCCTGGGAGACAGAGAAAAACTCGGTCTAAAAAAAAAAAATTATTCTGCCATAGCAGTGGGACTCCACAGTCAGGGAAAACCTGCGTTTTTCTGAGTCCTGGCTTTGCCTGGGCAAGTGGCCACCTCTTTCAGCCTCATTTTTCTCATCTGTAAATCAGAACATCGTAGAGATTCCTTCGTGGAATTGTTATGAGAATTTAATAAGATTGCCTGCAAAATATTTAACACAGTGTCTGGCACATGGCAAATGCCCAATAAATGTTATCTATGATTCACAGATACATTATGTTAGTGATGGTATAAGACATACTATTCACTGTTGCCCTCCAGCTTAGAGATCATATATAAAGGCTTTGCAGAGGGTGGTCCCCCCGTGCCACCGAGCCCTTCCCCTCTTCCGCCCACTGGGAACGGGGCTTGGTGAGGAGGGCAGCATTTTTCATCCTCCTTGAAGAACAGGTGCAAGTCTGGTCAAGATTTCTCTCCATCAGCTTCTTGTCAAACCTGTAAAAAATGATCTATCCTCCTCGGAAATTCCTACTTACTGCGTGGCAGCTTCTAAATTATACCTCTCTTGCTCAGATACATTTTTTTCCCTTTCCTCTACTGCCCTGCCCCCGCTTCTCCTCCAAAATACTACAAGTAAATATCATTTATATTGATTTTGTGAAGCTCCCTTCCCACCCATTCCTATCCCCTGAAAGTCTGGGAAGTCAGCCTCTGATTATATGTTTCCTAAGGCTGAATCCAATTTTTGTTTGTTATGGAAACATTAAATCTTTTTTAAAAAGTCTTAAGTCTTTGGGACAAATATTCGTATGGACTATTTTTTCTATATATATATATTATATATAATATATATTATATATAATATATATTATATATATATTTTATATATATTATATATTTTATATATATTATATATATTTATATATTTTATATATATATAAAATATATATATAGGTGTGGACTATTTTATATATATAGGTGTGGACTATTTTATATATAGGTTTGGACTATTTTATATGTATATAAAATATATATTATATAAATTATTATACATATTTTAAAATATATAAATATATATATTTTATATATATAATACATATATATTTGAGACAGAGTCTTGCTCTGTCACCCAGGCTGGAGTTCAGTGGCACGATCTTGGCTTACTGCAACCTCCACTTCCTGGGTTCAAGCAATTCTCCTGCCTCAGCCTCCCTAGTAGCTGGGAGTATAGGTGCCGGCCACCATGCCTGGCTAATTTTTGTATTTTTAGTAGAGGTGGGGTTTCATCATGCTGGCCAGGCTGGTCTCGAACTCCTCACCTCAGGTGATCTGCCTGCCTTAGCCTCCCACAGTGCTGGGATTACAGGCGGGAGCCATTGCACCCAGCTGCGTGGACTATTATTTGTGCACAGACTGATGACAGAAGAGGCAAGGCCTGGAGTTTAGTGAGGGTTTTATTGAAGAGGAGCGGGGAGAGGGAAGAGGCAGCATTGGGAGAAAGGGAAAAGGAGAAGGGTTGTTTCTGGGCTTGAGGCAGAGAGAGACAGAAGAGGTAAACAGGGATGAGGACCTGAGAAAATTAAAGAAAGCCAGTTGCCTGTAGGTTTCTGAGGTTCAAATCAACAGAACAACTCAATGTCTGAAAAGAATGAATGCTTATATCCAGCTTGTTGATCCTACTATGCAGCTAATCCTTGAATGAAATTTCCTGGGTCTGTGTGTAGGTTTTGAAGACGCAGTCAAACCATCCATTAACGCCATTTTCCTTGCACGCACTTTTTTCATTTCTTTCTAACATTGAGTCAGTCACCCTGTAGACTTGAATAGATGATCTCCGCATGTACTTTCAAGAAACAAGAAATACTACCGACCTTGTTGGTTTCACTGATGGTGTGTTTGAGGGCTGGTTTTATTCAGGGCCTGAGATGCAGTAAGTATTTCATAGTGGAGGCTTTATAAATGTGTCTGAATCAAGTATAAGAACAATCCTGGGTGGGAGCTACTATTTTTCTCTTCTTTAGATTGTGGAAAGTGAGGCTCAGAGTAGTTACTAATGTGGTCTGTAAGTACAGCAGCTGGTGTTCAAACTGGGTCTGGTTCAGGCTCACTTTTGAATCTTGTCTATCTCGCTAGACAGGACCAGGATTATCTCCCCAGCGTTCTACCACCTTCTCTGGCTTTCACGCTGTCAATGTTTGTGATACCAATTCCTCACGCTCCCTCCCTTTCACAGCTGCATCCACTCAAGACATTGCCCCTCCCCTCACCTGTGAACTTCCTTAACCTCTTGCTCCACCTCTCAACGACCCACAGAAGGGTCAGAGCATCCCAGGTATGCTTCAATTATGACTTGGCCTGACAGCCTCCCAAGGACGTTGTTAACCCTTTGACAACAAACACAATGTCTTACTTTGCAATCAAATTCATCAATGACTTTTGAATTTGAGTTTCTGTGTTTACCAAAGTTACACATCCACATAATTTGGAGAGTCAAATAGTCCACAAATGTTGTCCCTAATATGCTTGTGTTTCTGTTTTGATTTTTTAGTTTTAAGCATTAAATCTTGAATTCCCACCATGAAAGATGAGTTTAGCTTTTTCTTCTTGTGCCGTGGCCTCCCCTCATATACACACTCTTTCACTCCATATCCTCCCACTGTTATTATATACTAGTATCGCTTGTTCATCATTCTTTGTTTCCATATGAAAATATAAACTAGGTTTATAACTGTGCCCTGAAGTACAGTGTGATTGCCTTTACTTTCCTGGAGTTAGTAACTGTCTTATTTTTCCATTTGTTTTGTTTTTTATTATTGTTGGTTTTTGTTTGTTTGTTTTGAAATGGAGTCTTACTATGTTGCCCAGGCTGGAGTGCAGTGGCTTGATTTCGGCTCACTGCAACCTCTGCCTCCTGGGTTCAAGCAATTCTCCTGCCTCAGCCTCCCTAGTAACTGGGATTACAGGTGCCCACCCCCATGCCTGGCTAATTTTTGTATTTTTAATAGAGGTGGGGTTCCACCAAGTTGGCCAGGTTGGTTTTGAACTCCTGGCCTCAAGTGATCCACCCACCTCAGCCTCCCAAAGTGCTGAGATTACAGGCGTGAGTCCATTTGTTTTGTTTTCATTGTATTAAGTAATAATAAAGGTTCAAACTCTGCCAAAGTTCTAAATCTCCTCCTTGGTGATGTAGATGATCAGGTCTCCTATCGAATTTGTCTTTCTGCTGAAGCCTGTCCCAGGGCTGCGCCCTGCAGCATGTGGGCCAGCTGCCCTCCCTATGCACTGGGCATGTAGCCTTCCTCTGGAGAACCCTGCAGCCTCCCAGGCATTGCCTTCACCATCCTTCTGTGTTGGAGCTCCTGGCTTCCAAAGCCCTCGCCTTCCTCCTTCTTGGTTTACCTTCTTATTTGTGAGGAGCTCATTTTCCAGTAATGTCACAAGAAAGGGGCATATGGCCTTGTTTTTAAAATCTGGGTATCCCCAGCATGCTCAACAGATGTTTGCTAAATTAATGAAAGAATAAAAGCAGAAAGGACAACAAGGAAACATCAGCAGAGATAGATGGCATGATCACACATTGAGATTAAAAGGAAACAACACATTCTGATAATCTGATGTTTAGATAATTGACCTAAGCTTTTAATTTATGATTGACATCAGCAATAATAAAAGTTCATGAGAACACCTGGATTTAGAGAACTCATCTTTTCAAATGGCAGTCTGGCATAGGAAAGAATATCGGCCGTGAATGAGTTATTTAACCTTGCTGTGTCTTGGCTTCTTTGTTCATAAAAATAGGAATGCTAGCCGGGCACGGTGGCTCACGGCTGTAATTCTAGCACTTTGGGAAGCCAAGGCGGACGGATCACAAGGTCAGGAGTTCGAGACCAGCCTGGCCAACATGGTGAATCTCCGTCTCTACTAAAAATGCAAAAATTTGCCGGGCATGGTGGTGGGCACCTGTAATCCCAGCTACTCAGGAGACTGAGGCAGGAGAATCGCTTGAACCTGGAGGCAGAGGTTGCAGTGAGCTGTGATCGCGCCATTGCACTCCAGCCTGCGTGACAGGGAGACTCTCATCTTAAAAAAAAAAAAAATAGGGATGATAAGGTCTACTTATCAGGAAAACTGTTGCACTGGGTAAGAACTAAGGGTGGCTGAGCCCTTTCACAAGTCATCTTATGAAAATGACATTTAAATGGAATCAATTATATGCAAAATGGCACAGAGTTTAGCCTTTTGTAGCACTTGACAAATGGGATTGACTTCCCTTCTTTCTCCGCTTAAGAGTGCAGGACCTCTGAATTGCCAACTGTAACAGTTATTGATTATGTTGAAAAGGGTTATAAAAAGCTTAGTTTGGGATTCAGATGTGGTAGTGTGATAGTGGTGAGATGCCTTGTTTTAATCTTGACTCTCACCGTGATTTGTTATGTGTCCTCGGGCAAGTATCCTTCCTTTCTGAGCCTCTGGGCTTTCTTTGGGAAAATGCGGGGCTGGGCGGCTGGGGACTGAGGTCTGACTCTGTCAGGCTGTACCTTATTCTGTGAGTTGCCCTTCCAGAACCCAACAGACTCCACCCAGCTGCTGTGAGCACGGTTTGCCTTCAAAGTAGATGCTATCTCTGTCCCTGGCACCGGCCTTCTTAAGGCCCGGGGGCCCGAGGTTGACATCCTGTGAGGTCGCCTGGGAAGAAGCCCACATTACATTCTTCTGCAATGTAATGCAAAACAGATCCGGCCTAGGCTCCAGCCAGCACCAGGGAAGTGGACTTCATTGTAAAAGCCACCTTGTCAGCGTCAGGCCTGGGTGATTAATGACTCTTTAATCTCACAGCAGAATACCTGACAAAATACGCCTGGGCCAAAAAGGCAGAACAAACCTAATTAGCCTAGTTGACCCACTCACAAGGTGTGGGTTGCTAAGGATCCCAACAGCTTCGAAAGGAAGCCTCTCCCTGCCTGTCCCTTTTAGGTCTGTGAAAGAATCAAGTGGTCACAATGGGGAAGGGACTCCATTAAAAGGAGGGGGCTGGCCAATGAATAAACATGCAGGTTACCGTGTTGATATTTCGCTGAATGCTGTTCTGAAGTGGGGTGTTTGGGGCCTCGGAGGCCGGCGCCCCTGTATTGTGCTGGGGGAGGGACTGGCCATTTGAAGTCAAGGTGAGGACATACTGGGGCAGATGGAACCTGCTTTGTTTGTGAAAGAGTTTTTCTGCTATTTATGCTAATGAGTGGGAAACACTTCTAGAGCATTTCAGATGATTCTGTAATGAGGCCCGGCAGAATGTGCCAACATTGTTGGCCCAGGACAATTTCAAACTCCCACTCGCCACATTAGCAGCCCTTCTTTACATGAAGGCCCTTGGAGGGTGAAAGAGGACAATGCAGGAAGAGTGAAAACATCACAAAGAGGGGCTTTTGTTTCGCCTTCCTTTGAACCCTCTCAAAAGCCCAGTTTCAAGGGGTGTGTTGGGCCTGCCTTTCAACGTTACTGAACCCAGAATCCCCTGTTGTTTAGCAACATAGAAAGCTGACCTTAATTGACTCCACTTCTGAGCAGGCTTTGTAAATCACTCTGCCCCGGAGTGGAATTTCCTGATGGTGTCCGTGTGTGATATATAACGTTTGTACACAGGATACCAACGTGCCAATGCAATATACATGCCTTCATGTGTGCACAGTGATTTACAGCTTACAGCTCACTTTTACATGCATTCTCTCACAAGGACCCTACCTCTGGGTTAGGAATCATTATTCCCATTTTACCGATAAGAGAATTGAGACTCAGAGAAGTTAGGTGGCCTGCCCAGAGTCACCCATCAAGAAGGAATCAGAGCTGTGTCTGGAAGTTAGGTTTCCCTGACGCTCTGTTTCACTGCAGTTGTTCCAGGGGTTGTATTAAATAGACTGTGTAAATGTGTATTCGAGAGAGATGTCTTGAGCAATTAGTTTCTTTAAAGCATTGTTTTGTGGGTAAAGAAGAACATCGCTAGGTTATAACAACATTTTGGATTTCCCCTTTAATTTCTGGTCATAATAGCATTTTCTTGACAAGACTGCTTCCACTGCACTCTAGCTGTGCCTGGAGGATTTCTACTGTCCCCTTTCCCTTCCTTCCTCATCCTCAAGTCACGCAGCTATAGGCACGAGGCTCTCAGGTAGGGCAGTGCTGGGAGTTCCAGCTTCCCTCTGGGATTATGCTTCACGGAGCCTCATCAATTCTAGGGATATTGTGAGGAAGGTGCTCCACCCTGGAATTCGTCTAGAAGTTCAGCCTGGGGCCTGAGAGACACATCTGTACTCTTAAAGCCTCTAGACTAGGAATACTCTGTGCTGACTTTGCCATGTGACCGTGAAGTTCTGTTATAGAGGACTCTATGCTGAGAAGGGTCACGTGCTTGGCTTAATGCTCTTCTGTCACTGTCTTGACATTCTTGATAATTTCATCTTTGAACTTCTTTTTTGTAAGTGAAGCCCAGTGAGACAGTGGAGGAGAGGGGTCATGCCACTGCAGTTCCTCGCTATGCCATTCATACAGAGCATTCTCCATGCTCAGGAGTCCAGGAGTCCAGTGGGCCCATGATGCCCAGGAGCTCGTCGAGACTCAGGGAGGTAAGCACACTCTGCCCACACCTGAGTAAGCGGGCCCCTAGGGCCCTTAGAAGCCATGCACTCCTTGCAAACCAGTACAAAAGAATACAAAAGAGCCAGGCGCGGTGGCTCATGCCTGTAATCCCAGCACTTTGGGAGGCTGAGATGGGTGGATCGCCTGAGGTCAGGAGTTTGAGACCAGCCTGGCCAACATAGTGAAACCCCATCTCTACTAAAAATACAAAAAGTTAGCTGGGTGTGGTGGTGGGCGCCTGTAATCCCAGCTACTTGAGAGGCTGAGGCAGGAGAATCACTTGAACCCAGGAGGTGGGGGTTGCAATGAGCCGAGATCACACCATTGCACTCCAGCCTGGGCAACAAGAGCAAAACTCTGTCTCAAAAACAAAACAAAACAAAAAAAAAGATTACAAAAAAAGACAGTGGCAGTCTAAGAAAAACACAATTGACCAAATAATCCCATCATATCCTTTCTTACTCACCTTATGTCCTTGTGTTAGCAAAACAGATCCATTGAAAATGACACGAGAAGGAACGAGAGAGCAAGGATGATCCATAGCTCCCTGCCCTTTCATTCAGCCTCATCATAAGCCAAAGGTACAGAGGGCTGGGAAATGTGTGTGTATTACCAAGAGAAATGAAAACAGCGGGGTTAGTTTTGTATAGCACTTTCACTGTTCTGGTAAGAATATATATATATACATGTATACACACATACATACATACATATATAGGCTACAAAATAAAAATTCTGCAATTTTGGTGATTCTGCGTAGGAGTTAAATGTTCTTATATTTGCATTTAAAACTGGCACTATTCAAATTAAAGAGGAATTGTAAAACTCATGCTAATAATTTAAAATGTGAATTTTTCTTTACTTAGGAAGACACTAAATAGTAAATAAAATCCACAAATTATATAGCTAACCCTGTTTCTGGCAGAAGACCTATTGAAATGCGTATCATATGTTTGAAAAAAATTCTGTGATCACAGATCTTACAATCAGCCCTAAAAGAGCTACTGTGTCAATGCCGTCCTCGAGTTTTCTTGGGTTCTGTGTGGGACCATCACATGGCGCTATGTTGCTCTTTGGGCAAAGGGTGGTGGGTGGAGATCACAGTGGCCCTATTAGCTATGTGATCATGGACAAGCCTCTGCCTTCTCAATCTGCAGCAGGGAGGTAGCATATATCTTGTCATTTATCAGGATTTCCTGTAAAAGTACGCATATAAAGGTGTTTTGGAAAATGTAAAATGTTGTGTATGTATCAAGTATAATTTTTATTACTATTAAAAAACTACAAAGCAGGAACCATGAACATTGCTGTCTTTATTCCCTCTGATTTGTAAATTCCTGCCAAGTTTGCATAAATCCAAATTCATTTTTTTCTTTTAAACAAATTTGTCAACAACCATTTGGATGGTAATATGAAAATTCAATATATTCACAACTTTCTTTCACTTTGCAGTAATATACATCAGTGTTTTTAAAGGCTATAGGGATGAAGTTTTACTCTAAAGTTGTTTATACAGTTTTCTATGATTAAACAGTTGTCAAACCTGTGTATAGAAAAAATGATAGGCCAGGAGCAGTGGCTCATACTTGTAATCCCAGTACTTTGGGAGGCCGAGGTGGGTGGATCACTTGAGGTCAGGAGTTCAAGACCAGCCTGGCCAACATGGTGAAACCCGGTCTCTGCTTAAAGAAATAAAAAAAAATTAGCCAGGCATGGTGGTGCACGCCTGTAGTCCCAGCTACTCAGGAGGCTGAAGTGGGAGAATCACTTGAACTCAGGAGGTGGAGGTTGCAGTGAGCTGAGATCGTGGCACTGCACTCCAGCCTGGGCAATAGAACGAGACTCCATCTCAAAAAAATAAATAAAATAAAAGCCTAACAAATAGAAAAATAAACAACCTGATATAGAAGATGAGTGAGTCCTAATAACATAAGGCCCTATCATAACACGGTCTACTGTTTTTATCATAAAGTTTAGACAACTTCTGGATTAAAAATGTGTCTCTCCAAATGTAACAGCTGCTCACAGGCAAAGTCTGATTAACCTGCTGAGACTACAGGGAATCTGCTAATCTTATCCCTGCAAAGCTAATATCATAAATAAATAGGTCTCTATTATGTAATAAGAACCTGTAATAAATGAGGGACTGACATCATATAATATGAATTGTAGTGGGAGGCAAACGTGTTTTCCCTGTGACTTTGAGACAGTGATTTATCTTTGCTTGGGTCTCTGTTTCTCCATCTGTACTTGGGATGGAGTGAACCGTGACCTCTAAAGGGCCTCCCAGCACCAGCATTCTGTGTTCTGATGGCTTTGATTTGACTTGGAAGCTTTAGTGCCACCTGAAGTCAGATGATAAGGACACATGAGCACACCTGGCAGAGACAGGTTCTGTGTCCCAAGGTGATGCAGCAGATCTGGGGTTTGGAATACCTGTTCCAAATCCAAATCCAACCTCTCCGTTGTCCTTATATCCTCTTTGCTAAAGGGGACTCATTATTCCAGAGTGGGAGGCTCTGTCCCTCTTTCCCCATGGTTCAGATGGGTGGCCTTCACGTTCTCTCTGTGGTTGTCTAGCCATCTCCCCACCATGTCAGCACCAGCCCAGAGCCAGCACAGCAGGTGACTCCCAAGTGTTTGTTGAAGACTGACTTATGGTTTCATAATTTATTACTTTTTAAATTTCTCCTTCTAGACTTGCAAGCACTTTATTTATTTATTTATTTATTTATTTATTTATTTATTTAAGACGGAGTCTTGCTCTGTCACCCAGGCTGGAGTGCAATGGCGCAATCTCAGCTCACTGCCACCTCTGCCTCCCGGGTTCAAGTGATTCTTTGGCTTCAGCCTCTCGAGTAGCTGGGATTACAGGCATGCACCACCATGCCCGGCTAATTTTTGTATTTTTAGTAGAGATGGGGTTTTACCTTGTTGGCCAGACTGGTCTCAAACTCCTGACCTCAGGTAATCCACCTGCCTCGGCCTCCCAAAATGCTGGGATTACAAGCGTGAGCCACCGCACCTGGCAGCAAGCACTTTAAAGACAGGTCCCTCATCAAATTCATCTCTCTCAGCCTATGGCCCCTTGTCTACCCACAAGGCCCAGCCCATAGTGGGAGCTCAGTAGATGGGAATACACATATTTTGAGTAAGCTGGAATGATGCCAATACCCATTTTGCTAAGATGGATATTCTTGCTCATGAAGAATCCCAGGCCGCCCTAGATCAATCTCAGTATATGCCCCCTGCCCATCAGTGAGAGGAACGAGGATGCAACTTGTGCTGTCTGGGGAAGGTGAGGACAATAGCTAGAAACTGTCAAGTCCCAGAAACTCTTCTCAGTCTTGGCTGAAGACAACACCTTTCATGACCTCAGGCTTTTCTTGCTTTGCAGTCTTGTTTAAAATGGCATTTGGGCCTCGGCGTGGTGGCTCACGCCTGTAATCCCAGCCCTTTTGGGAGGCCGAGGTGGGTAGATCACGAGGTCAGGAGATCAAGACCATCCTGGCCAACATGGTGAAACCCCATCTCTTCTAAAAATACAAAAAATTAGCTTGGTGTGGTGGCGGGCGCCTGTAGTCCCAGCTACTCGGGAGGCTGAGGCAGGGGAATAGCTTGAACCTGGGAGGTGGAGGTTGCAGTGAGCCAAGATCGCACCACTGCACTCCAGCCTGGTGACAGAGCAAGACTTGGTCAAAAAAAAAAAAAAAAGGCATTTGGAATATACCCTAATCCTATGACTTAGAAATGAAAAGTATTATGAGACTGTTCATAACAGCTATATTCATAATATCCTCAAACTGGAAACAACTTAAATACACATCAGCAGGAGAATGGGTGGACAAACTGTGTTATAGCCCTCCTAGGGAATACTACTCAGCAACAAAAATGAGCAAACAACATGGATGAATCTCAAGAGCGTCCTCTAAATAAAAGGAACCAGACACAAAAGAGTACATACTGTATTATCCCATTTAAATGTAGTTCTAAAAACAGACAAAACTAATTGAGAGTGATAGAAATCAGAACAGCGATTGCCAGCTAGGGACAGTGGCTCATGCCTGGAATCTCAGCACTTTGGAAGGCTGAGGTGGGAGGATTGCTTAAGGCCAGTAGTTAGAGACCGCATCCCTACAAAAAATAGCAACAAACTAGTTGGTGTGGTGGTGCACACCTATAGTCCTAGCTACTTGGGAGGCTGAGGCAGGAGGATCACTTGACCCCAGGAATTCCAGGTTGCAGTTAGCTATGATCCTGATATTGCACTTCAGCCTGGGGAACAGAGTGAGAATCCATCTCTTAAAAAAAAAAAAAAAAGAACAATAATTGCCTAGGAGGTGGAGTGGGATGTGATGGGCTGACTGGAAAGAAGGCACAAGGGAACTTTCAGGGGTGGTAGAAATTTTCTATATCTTGACTGGGGTGGTGGATACAAAACTTACTGTATGTTAAATTAACCCTCACATTTTAAAAACTCACGTTATTTGGAGCTGAGGTTTACCAGCCTCTCAATGGCCGGCTGTCTCCTGGATCAGACACCAGGAGAGGCAGCTGTGATTTGTGCAGCTGTGGCCACGCTACTGATTTCCTCACATCCGCAGGGGCGGCCCCAGCACGTGGCCCATTTTTCATCCAGTCACTTTGCTGGCACTTGGCGAACGCCTGTCTCTCCCTGGGCTCTGTCCCGGGACCCACAGCAAACTCTCATCCTTCTTCCCGTTGGCACTTCTTCAGCTCCCAAGTCCTCTCTGTGTTTTCTCTTCTCCAGGCAAATCCCTGGGTTTTCCATCCATGCTTCACTGGATGCAGTTTCCAAACCCTTCTTCCTTGTAGTTTCTCTCCCCTGGATATGCTCCAGCTGCCCAGGGCCCATTTCAAGAATTTCTTGAACACTTTTGCTGATGAACTTGACTTCTGCCTTCAAAGCGATTTTAACGAGAGGAGGTAGACTGTGAGCCTTTGTCTAGCCCATCAGTTTACATTTTATTTTTTCAAATAGCGAAGAGACATGAAAATGTGGTGGGAATTCCACAAAGGCCCCTGCAAATGACTGACATACATTTAGGCAGACAATGTCTTTGTGCAGTTCCCGGGGCTGATGCATTAATAGATATAATTTGTAGGCTCCCAAGGAGAGGTTAAAGAGGAGAGCACAGGTTCCTTTGAGTCGAGTTGGTGCTCCCGTGTCATCTGTCCCCAGACTTAATCAAGTTATCATATCAACCCAGTGTTTCCTGGACCCCAGCTCTCTGTCTGAATGAGGAAAAAATTTGCAGACAAATTTCTAGCAGCAGGAAGTTGGTGCTCTCCTGCAAGGCTGGATAAAAACTACGTGTAACCTCTCAAGGCCTCCCTCCCGCTCCTGCTGGGAGTTCAGTTCAAGTGGTTCCCTTATTTGATTACGCCTCTCAGGCCTTCTCTGGTGTAGGTATCCAATCCACTGCTGTGCCCACCGGCTCCCCACGAGGCAGCAAACATTAGAGTCACTCTTTTGTGAAATTATGGGGAGGCTGAGTGGGCCAAGCACTTGTGTGTGTGTGTGCATATGTGTGTGCATGTACGCCTGTGTGTGAGGAGACACACAGATGTGTATAAAGAGAGGAATGCCGTCTGTTAGCAACTGTGGCATTGATTTATAATCACTTCCTGTAGTCACAGAATGACTGAGTGGCGTCTTTCAATTCTCACGATTAAAAAAAAAAAGAGATGGTGAAAAAAAATCCTAAGTGCTAAATATCTATGTATTATGTATTATTATTCTTAAGAGCTTGCAAAAGCCTTATAACATGTATGATTTACAATTAATGGGCCTAATTCTTCCAATACAGATTTCTTCCTTCCATGACTATATAATTCAAGTTATACTGCTAAATATTTTATAATGAGAGTACAAATTATGATGGCCTTTGTAACTGTTTTCATGGGAGCATTTATTATTGGGCTGATGTTGATGGGTTAGTAGATTTGTGCATATCCGTCTCTCTTATCCATTGCTTTATGAGTGGACAAGAAGTGTGGGAATGCGTGCTGTGAACATGTGGTCACTCTAGACTTTTCTCAAAAATATAAAAGACATACATTTATTTCCCTGCACAATCACACACACAAAAAAGAAAGAAATAAAGAAAAGGTAAAAAATCTTTGCAAGGCAATGTTTTGTATTCATTTTCAGGCAATGTCAACGTAATCGAGGAAAATAATAGCCACATCTTTTTTCATCTGCAGGTGCGGAAGACCTACTTAAAACCTGAGAGTCTCGAATAGGAGAGGCGCTTTCAGATCAGCCCGAGTCTTCTGCAGCGCACAGGAGCTAGTCGTACTGAAAAGAATGAAGTTGGACTTGTCCAGGCGAGTTTCGGACAGTGCTGGGCTGGTAAGAAACGGAGTTACCATTCATCTATTCATTCCCAGAAAAAAAGGGAAATACACCCTCCCGAACTCAAGATGCCCATTGATTTATCCCCTTTAGCTGGCAAGACACTCAAGCCCCAATGTCTTCGGGCTCATAAGCGTTTTTATTGAGAGAAGAGCGTCCCTCCCAGGTTCCCACAGGGGCTTGGAAGTCAGGGGAGCCGGGAGGGGCGGCGGGGGCCGGGGCAAGAAGCGGGACGGCTTTTATTTTGCGCCATAAAGGGCTGCACAGTGTCTGCTGGAATCTCAGCAGTTAAAGAGACCCCTCTGCACAAAGGGGCGCTCCGGCCGTAATCGGGAAATAAATTTGATTTTCTGAATTCTTTGGCAGCTGGTGACAAAGGGCCAGGTAGCGCCGCGGCGGGGGTGATCCTTGCAGAAGGCGGCGCGCGGCGGGGCGTGCGCGCCGGAGGGACAAAGGCGGCCGCGCCGCCGCGCCACAAAGGCAGGCCCGGGCCAGGGGGCTCCGCGCCGCGGATCATCTACCCCCGGGGCCGGGTCGGCTGCTGTGGGCGGCGTGGGGCAGAGACACGCCCGCGCCGGAGTCCCCGAGCCTCCGAGACCCCGGGCCCGGGCCGCGTCTCGGGCTTTCCCCGCCCGGTCGTCGGCTCCAGCGCCGCCCCCGCGGCTGCCTTCGCTGCTGCCCTCGCTGTCAGGGACCGAGGCCAGGAGACCGCCTGGCACTTCGCCCTGTCCCAAACCTGGGACTCCAGGGGCCTCCTGCTGGGGCCGCGAGCATCAGACTTTCAGAGCTGAAATCACTTCATCAAGAAATGCCAGTTAACCCTTGCCCAGTTCAGCCTCTTGCTGGGGTTTTGGAGGGGTCACCAGGGATGCCCCTGGGAAGTTTACCCAAATCCCCCTGGCTCAATGAACCGAGACTGCCCCCTTGCCTTTGTTCATCAGGTTATATTTTGTCATTTAATGCGTCTTACATGCCTGTCCTTTAAGTTCTTCTTCGGCAGAGGTGGATCGTCCTTTAATGACAAAGCAGGTGTTGGGGGGACGGGTACCCGGGAGGAAATGACGCCACCTACTAAGTCTCTAAGGGCAGGAATTCATCATTCAAAAGCACTAAGCGCTGCTCTCCTCACTCCCCAGCCCTGCTCTGATCTCCTGGGTGTCTTCACCTCCTCTGGTTCCTAAGTCGGCTGCTGCACCAGCACCCATCAAACTCTCCTGGAAGAGGAAGTGACAGCTCACCGGTAGCCTAGAAGGCCCCTGTGGGCAGAAGCATGGACTTACTCCTCCTCATGGAGATGCGGCTGAGCCATATTTCCTTGGCACCTCTCTGGAACCTTCGACAACCACCACCTCAGACACTAACCAGACTTTAGGTCCATTCCTTTCATGGCTAAAATGAGACAGTCCACAATGTTGATTTTATTTGTAGGGGATGTCAGGATTCCAGAAAAGCAGACTTGGAAAGCAACAAAACGTTAACTTGCAGCTCACTGAGGCCCTTACACTTGTTCTGGGCACCTCTGTATGTTAAAAGAAGTCCAATATCTTTAGCTGCTGGTTATAGGTGGCCATATGTTTCTGCACAGAAATGGGGCTCCCCTTGCTAGACTAATTTTCTAATTTTTCCTCAAGCTTCATTGATTCATATTCTTCTACTTGACCCTGACTGTCAGGACCAACAACACCAAATAACACCAAAGTCTCTTGCTCCTGTCCTCAGAACCTCTCAGAGGCATCCTCTGCCCTGTTGGAGCCATTTTATTTCAGGTTGATCCTTAATTAAATTCAGCGAGATGCAGGACCTGTGTGTGTGAGTGTGGATCTTGTGTGTGAATGTGGACCTGTGTGTGTGAACGTGGGCCTGTGTGAGTGTGGGCCTGTGTGTGAGAGTGGACCTGTGTGTGTGAGTGTGGGCCTGTGTGTGAGTGTGGATGTGTGTGTGTGAGTGTGGGCCTGTGTGTGTGAGTGTGGACCTGTGTGTGTGAGTGTGGGCCTGTGTGTGAGTGTGCAACTGTGTGTGTGTGAATGTGGATCTGTATGTGAACATGGACCTGTGTGTGTGTGTGTGGACCTGTGTGTGTGAATGTGGATCTGTATGTGAACGTGGACCTGTGTGTGTGTGTGTGGACCTGTGTGTGTGAATGTGGATCTGTATGTGTGAATGTGGACCTGTGTGTGTGAGCATGGTATTTACAATCAGCAGGAAGAAGCCTGGAAATGAGTCCTGATTAAATGAGAATCTAAATACAGAACAAGTACCCTAGGAGTTCTAGAAAGATGAATAATTCTCAACCCAGCATAGTAACAGCAGCTTACAATATGTTTGTGTATGTCATAATGGAGTGGTTTCTGTTACATGTGTAATGCTGGTATCATAAGAAGAGTATTGTCATGCTCACAGGATGTCAGGTACAGAAGGTTATAACTGCTTTGTTGTGTTACTTATCTACTGCTGCATAACAAATTACCACAAACTTCGTACTTTTAAACAGCACATTTATTATTTCACAGTTCCTGTGGGTCAGGAGTCCAGGCACAGTTTAGCTGATTCCTCTGTTTTAGATTCTCTTACGGTGCTTTAATCCGGGAGTCAGTCAGGGCTGGGGATCTTATCTGCAGCTTGACCGGGGAAGGTTCTGCTTCCAAAATCATGTGGTTGTTGACAGAATTCAGTTCCTTGAGGGTTGTTGGCCTGAGGGCCTCAGCTTCTTGTGGGCCCTCAGCCAGAGGCCACCCTCAGTTCTTCTCCAGGACCTCTCTCTATGGCAGCTTACTCCATCAAAGCCAGCAAGGGAGACAGTTGACAGCAAAAGTCGGCTAGTAAGATGGGTGTTCAAGTCCGCTGGAATATATTAATATCATGACACTGACGTCCACCACCATCGCCATATTCTGTTGGTTAGAAACAAGTCACAGGTGCCACCCACACTGGAGGGAAGGGATCCCACAAGGGTGGGTACACCAGGGAGCATGGACCATGGAGCCTCCTGGGAGTCTGTCTCCCATATTCACTTCACCCACAAGTAAACTGAGTCCCCAAATTGGGGTGTGCCCTGGCCACAATCTCAGTGAGTTAGTTTAGTGGCTAGACTCAAATCTAGGACAATTATTCTAAGTCTTGTGCTCTTTCCTCTGTAACATGCCTCCATAATACAAGTTTCAAATAGGTGAAGCCTTTGGTTCTGAAAAGCAGCGCCTAGCTCTACCCAGCAGTCTTTGCTGCTCAGGTTAACTGCCACCCCAACCATGAAGTCACTGCGGTCCTTCACTGAGGAACTCAAGGAACCTCTGCATCCTGGGCCCCATAAAATATTCCTAAACCAAAATGGTGGAAAAAATCCCTTTTCCAGATCAATTAAATCAACAAATTTTAAGAACCTGAGGATTTGCTTAGTCTCCCACCCCCACCCTCTTAACAAGTGAGAAACCCGAGGTCTAGAAGTGAGAAATGATTTACTCAAGCTCACAATGATGACAAAGCCTCATTCTCTTTCTTTTTTACAAATTTCAAGCAATCGCAGAGAATGGATTGGCTTGCATAGCCAAGCACAGGAAGGGCCGACGAATGGGACACCTGGAGCCAGGACTCAGAGGCCCTCAGGGCCACCTCTGTCCCATCTCTCCCTGCAGGCTGAAGTTTTCAGTCTCCAGCTGACACTGAGACCCCAGCGTCTGAGACCAAAAGGAAAACAATCAAATAAGCAACAGTTCTGATCCCAACAGGCCAAGTTGCCTCTTTCAGGAAAAATCTGCTCACATCATGAATTCTGGACACGCAATTGTTGTTTAAATAGTTCATTCCCAAGAGGCCACCCTTCACTGATAGATACAGCTTTGTGTAATATGACCGTAGCTTCGTCTCTGTAATTTCAGTAAGACTACAATTCCCACCTCAAGAGGTGGAAGTGAAGTCTAATTTTCCGTGAGGATCACGTGTGCATGTGGATGTGTGTGTGTTTCTTTTTCTGTGGGTCCAAGTCTTTATCTTGCTAAATCCATTACACCTCCTCTCTGCCTGTCTGCACTGGAGATAAAAAATGGCATTTTCTGGCCTCAGGCCACTGCATTTGGCCAAACATTCTCCCAGCAAAGTTATGAACAAAATTTCCTCCTCCATTTGTGCTCTTCTGAAAGAGACGTCTGGCTGCATTCACTGTCCACTGTCCTCAGAGAATAACTGAAGGAACAAATGAAACCAGATATAATGAGCTCTGTGCCTGTCATCTTGAGTTTCAATGAACTTATCTCTTTACTGGCTTTGAAGAGCTGAAATCACTCCATGTGCTGGGGGGGTAGTTTAGAGAATATGAAGAATTTGATCCTTGGTGGGGCTAAATAGTTGTGATCCTGGGCTACTTTTGAGTTGTTTCTCCTTGGCTGACATGGACTTTCTGAAGGCACTTGTTTTCAAGAGAAATCAGAAATATGCTTCAGAAAAATAACCATCAAATCATTTTGGAAGAAATAAGAAAAGAACATTTATTTTAGCAATAAGATAATCTCTTCTGGGATTCATAACTAATTTGGTGGAAGTGTTTCTATTTTAAATAAAATCCACATCAGTATTAGAAGAATGTGGATTGATTTTCTGGGCCTTTTAGGGCCACCAACCTCAGCATTTGCCGAATGTGGACTCAAGGACTCTGTCTCTTTGCACTTGCTGCTTCCTGTTTTTGGAGATGCTTCTACCTCCTCTCTCTGACAAACTTCTTCCTACTCACCTGGCAGGGTCCAGCTGCACACCCCCTCTTCCATGAGGCCTGCTGGCGCTCCCACTTCCCCAACCTCTCCTCACCATGCACAGGGGCGGCCACTCTCCTCTTTGGACTCTCGCAGCCTCTTTTTATAGTTCTATCTAGGTCTTTGCTATATTTGCCCGGGGAGGCTGTGATCAACATGGGAACAGGGGTTTGGTTTTGTTCATTTTCATTTTCGCAGGCCTTGGAGGACTCACGCAGCTTGTAATGGCACAGGCTTGATGGATGGATGAATTGGCAAATCACTTTGAGGAAAATCTCTTTGATTGGTATATTTGATTCCTAGTTAACAAACTGCCTACTAGCATTCCTGTGTATATGGCGCCCAGATATCTAACAGCATTGAAATGATATGAAGCTGCTTTGTGCAAAGATGTGCTTTACAGAAGATAAAGACTGCCAGGTAGAAAAGGAGCATATGAATCACTGCACTCTTGGCAATCGAAAGGAAATTATGTCCCTTATACTGCACATTGCTAACCCTGTCTTACATCTACTGAGCATTCACAGTGTGTCCAGACAATCTACTAAGGGCTTTATGAAGACTACCACAGTGTCCTTTGGAGGTAGGTCCTGTTGTGCTCATTTTACAGATGAGAAAACCTAGGTGCAGAGATGAATTAAGTTACCCTAGATCACCTGGCTAGTGACAGAGGCAAGTGTTTAAGCCCGAGTCTCGGTCATAACCTCTAAAGGAACACAGAAACTTTGTCCAAGGTATGCATTGGCTGAAATGCAATTTAACATTTATTGAGTGTCTATGGCACACTGGTTCCTGCCCTGGCACTGTGAATACACAAATGAAAGGATCAGGTCTCTGCCCTTGAAGTTTTCTAAGGAGAGGTGGGGGTGAGAGCTCAGACAAGCACACAATTTGTTAGAATGCAGGAGGAAGTGAAAGTGCCATAAAGAGGCACAATGTGCTATATGGGTTCCCGCAGGGAGCATGTACCATCTGGTGGCATGGATCAGGAAAGGCTTCCTGGAGGAGGTAGCACGTTAGGTGAGCCTTGAAGGATGAGACATCCGTGGGAGAGATCCAGAAAGAGGCTATGGAGGAGGGAATCTGCAAGATGAGGTGGGAGAAGTGGGAAAGGAGCATGAGAGTGTAGTTGGGGCCAGCACAGGGAGGCCAGGGGGTCTGCTGGGAGGTTGTGGCCAATCTGGTGAGAGAGCCAGGGGCTATTTTAAATTAGCAAGAAGACCTGCTATCCAGAAGCATGCAGCACTGTAGTGGGTCTGAAGTTCCCACGACTAGTCTAACACCTGTGTGAGGCTAGTTCCAATGTGTCCTTCCTTTCCAAAGTCTTCATCTTCACGGTTGCTTTGTAACAATTCTATACTCCTCCAGCTCCTGCGTCCATTCCCCTCCCTGCATTACCTTTACATTCTGATTTGAGAGTCCTGTGGGAGTTTCTTCTTACCCTTCATGTATTTCAAGGTGGTTAGTAGCTTGTTTCTCAGTCACCCCCCACCCATGGCCTCTCACATGGTTTTGGGCGCTCCCTGTCCCAGTTCCGTGATCATCCTCTGGGCTCTCTTAGCTGCTCCTCTACGTCCCCAGCAGCACTCAGCCATGGGGCCCTGATTCTTTGAAAGTACACAAATGGTTCTCTTGTCCTCTCTTAGCCTAGATAAACATGATTAAAACCCCATTGTCTATAAGGCCAACAGAAACTCACTCATGAGAATCCACTTAATGGCTCATAATGAAGCACCGCCCCAGTGTTCAACCTGAGATGTTCAAGGGAAAGGACCAGGGTCTACCATTTCCGTGACAGATCACCCTCCACTCTGCCTAAATGCACCCATGTCACCTTCCAGCAAGTCCCGGGGAGGCAGCCCATTCTTCCATGAAGAGCCTTAGCCTGAGTCACTAATAGGGGTTAAGTCCAAACCTCCTGGAGAAGCCGAGGCCACACAGCAGGAGCTTGGTACATCCACTTCTCTCTGCTCAGTGGCTTCTGCTCACTCATGCCTTCCACTCCCGGTGGCTTAAGGAGATTGAACAGAAATCCAAAACATTCTTTGAAGGGGGTACGTTGATCACTCATCTTTGAATCCACTTAGCATGGTGCCCTGCACACAGGCATTATTCAGTATGTTTATTGATGTGTTTATTGATGTGTTTCCTTTCCGCTCACTAGACTTCATGGACTAGAAATCCATTCCCTAGCCCTCCCCTGGTGATCTGGCCCCACAAGAGCAGTCCCAGGCGTCCTACTCCTGTCACCCGGCTTTGTAGGTCTTGTTCCCCAGCACTGTCACCACGTGCTTTGCTCCTTTCCAAACCTCCTTCTACTTGTCATGTCCCTCTAAAGCTATCAAGCCAACAACTTGACTCCCCCAGTGGAAGCAATGGATCTGAAAATGCTTCTTAAACTCCGAGGTGCTATGTAAATGTAGAGAAACAACAAGAATCATGATGACGTTTTCTATAAAGGACTGTGATAGCTGAGACTAGTGGTAGGAATGCTGGAATAAGGAACAACTTAAAAATACCCAGGCAAGGCACTGAATGTGAATCGATGATAGTAATCTTCAAAGAATAGTCACATTTTCAAACAAATGTTGATGAGGTATATCTTGTAGATTTTTAGTCAGAAAACAAAATAGATTTCTTTCAGTGGTATACTGATGATTTCTATTTTACCTACCTCAAGAGACAATTTGAGAGACACACAACAAATTATCAGCCAGGAAAAGAGAAAGAATTCATTACGCGTTGGCCCCAGCTTTAAAACTGTGTGGCTCTTCCCCTCTCTGTTTTCCATTTATAAAATGAGGGGGTTAGAACAGATAATCTGTAAAGTCTCTTCTGGCCCTGATAGTCTATGGATTATTGAGAAAACCCAACCATTCTCTTTCTTGATTTCCTCCAGGAGTGAGTTTACTTGCCACGTGTCTTTTCCTGGCACACATCTCGCTATTTGCCATTCTTTCAGTGTAGTTTTTCGTGACTCAACCACGAGCCCTCGCAGGTCAGGACCGTGTCTCATTCGGCTTCCTGCCATCTTAACCTGGTGCCTGGCCCATAGCAGATGCTCAATAAATACTGTCAAATAAGTAAATTAGAGACGCTAAAGGCAGGTGATTAAGAGGATGAGCCAGAGAATGAAACGGAACCATGTGTACTTAGAAAGGACTTTATTGAGAGGAAGGATTTTAAACAATCAGTGGGAAAACGTTCTTCAGGAATTCTTCCCCATGTCATGTGAGGTGGGTAAATAAAGTAAGTCTAAAAGATAAGCATATCTGTGCTGAAATTGGTATTTTAAGCTTGTATTAGTTTTCTGACTTCTTTTTAGATTTAGCTGGTGTTTGTCTGGACATCCTTGATCTCTGGCAACATTTTAACACCATAAGCAACTTCACAGGTTGATAGAGACAAGGCTGCCATGTACCCCTGGCCCCTTGTTCAAGGGTGCCTGGGAAGTTGGGACTGGGTAGCTCATCACTCCATCTGAGCTAAGGTGAAGTCAGCCAACATTTCTTTTTTTTTTTTGAGATGGAGTCTCACTCTGTCGCCCAGGCTGGAGTGCAGTGGCACGATCTCGGCTCACTGCAAACTCTGTGCCCCAGGGTTCAAGCAATTCTCCTGCCTCAGCCTCCTCAGTAGCTGGGATTACAGCTGCCTGCCACCTCTCCTGGCTAATTTTTGTATTTGTAGTAGAGACGGGGTTTCACCATCTTGGCCAGGCTGGTCTTGAACTTTTGACCTCATGATCCACCCACCTATGCCTCCCAAAGTGCTGGGATTACAGGTGTGAGCCACCGTGCCCGGCCAAGACATCATTTCTTAAGTGGAAAACTCAGCCATTCATCCAGATGTTTTGTCTTTGAGGAGAAAAATCCTGACCTTTGTTTCATATGTATGTATATATATCTCAAGGCCCTTATTATGAGGTTTATTGACTTCAAGGGATCCAAGAACATCCTGAAAGCAGATACAAAATGTTGAGCTGTGCCAAGACTGCAAAGACTGGAAGGATTTCCTTCCTGTCAGAATGACTGGCATGGCCTTAGTTTGGTCACTGCTTACCCTATCTTTGAATTTACTTTCCCTTTTGAAAAATTAATTTCATACATAGGATCATCCAAACAGGTAACATTGTTGAAGGATGCTACAGTTTTGGTAACAGGATAGCATCACATGCATCAGAGTCTGAAGGTCTCATCCTTCTTCGGCCCTGGAAAGTGTCCTAGGCAGCGCAGATGCCAAGGTCTGTTGGCTGCTGGAGTCCTAGCCAAGGAGGCTCAACTCCTGAACACATGCAGTGGGCAGAACGTACTCTGTAAACCCAAGTCAAGAGTCTGGAAAATGGCTGGACAAGTGCTATGCCTTGCTTGGCTGAGCAGATAGGATGAGGAGAAAAAATAAAGAGAAGATGAGGACTGAAGTCATTCAAAAAGTAAAATTCAGAGGTAGATAAATAGAAAGAGGGGAAATATTTGTATTGGTATGAAATTGAAGAAATATAGAACTGAGTATTTAGAGGCCTGTGCAAATGAGTCCAGTCCTTTTGTTAGGTAAATAGGGAAGCAGAGGCTGAGAGAAAGGCTGGGACTGCCCAAGGTCGTGGAGCTAGTTAGAGACACACCCGGAATTAGAACCCAGGCCTCCTGACTCCAGTGCTGCTGCTGCTGACAGGACACCATCAAGTCAGCCAAAACTTAATTCACTAAGATCATCTATGTTTAATAGAGCCAGGGGGTCAGAGAAGAAAAAACAGTTTAATTAGCTATGATCCACCAATTCCGCTGGCCCATTGGTTCCAGTGTTTATTAACGCTCGCCAGCTCAGCTGTCCTCCCAAGCTTCTCCTTGAAGCTTTTTGCGTCTTGTAAGAGGAAGAATTGGGAATCTCCACTTTGTGTCACAGAGGAACCTGTAAAGACCCCAGCTTGAGCACTCACCAGGGCAGCCCCTTGCAGAATAAGATATTATCCAAATGTGTTGTTTCTTTTGAAGGCCCTTTTTCAGTCTTTAACATATAACAATTCAAACATTTCTTTGGTAGCATAGGACTGGGTGGCAAGCAGACTTTTTGAAGAACTAACTGATACATTCTCATTCTCGCTTTCCTCCCACCTCTGTCCTGAACAGACACACATCCAGGATTTCCTTTTGTCTTAAGGCCCTTTCTCTCTAGTGTAAACATCTGGGGCCTAATCCCATCACAGGCTGCTTCCTGGAAGGGTGTGGCAGCTGGATGCTGAGAGCCAAGATCCCCTCAGTTTCTGCTGCAATGTCAGGGGGAGCAGCAATGGACAAAGCTGGAAGAGTGTCTGGTGTCAGCTTATGAAAGCTTTAAATGCCAACAAAAGAGGTTTTTCTTGGTGCTATAGACCATGAAACGGTCAGAAAAGTCTTTAAAGGGGGAAATAGCATGATGAGATTTTGTGTTTAGAAAAGATTGTGGTTGAACTATGGAGAATGGGGGGTAGCAGAGAGAGTTCAGCAGTAGGCAGACCAATTAGCGGGCTGTGGCACATGTTGGAGGCAGAGGTGCTGATGTCTTGACCTTGGGGGGTTCCAGAGAGGACTTAGAAAGGAGAAGGGTCTAGTAGAAAAAGAAAAAATACAAGGGAAACTCTAAGGGATCTGGCTGTGACGAGCGTGGAGAGATGAAGGAGACCATGAGGTTGCAAAGGAGGAAGTGGGTGAGGGGAAGTCCAAGAAGGTGAGCTGTCTGGGGGAGCACGGGGGCAGTGGAGGAGAGGGTTTGGAGAGTTTCATTTTGGGTGCATTGAGTTAAGGAGCTTGTGGGCCCCGCGAGTGGACACACCTTCCAGGGAGTTGGAGACACAGGTTTGGAGTCAGGGAGGGACTCCAAATGCACATGCGAACTTGCAGGCCAGACAGTGAGAGAAGCCAGCAGCAGGAGACTCCTCGTTCAGGCCTCAGTGAATGTCCCTCACTCTAACCATAGTCTCTGTGTCCTGTACACTGCATTCATCTTTCTAACATGCTGCTCAGACCTGAATACCCTGCCAGCAACCTTCAGTACTCAGCGTTCTGTGGCTTCTTTTTTTTTTTTTTTTTTGAGACGGAGTCTCGCTCTGTCACCCAGGCTGGAGTGCAGTGACACAATCTCGGCTCACTGCAACCTCTGCCTCCCGGGTTCAAACGATTCTCCTGCCTCAGCCTAAGTAGCTGAGACTACAGGCATGTGCCACCACTCCTGGAAAATTTTTTGTATTTTTAGTAGAGACAGGGTTTCACCACATTAGCCAGGATGGTCTCCATCTCCTGACCTCGTGATCCGCCCTCAACTGCCTGCCAAAGTGCTGAGATTACAGGCGTGAGCCATTGCACCCGGCCTCTGTGGCTTCTTAAATGCAAAAAGAAAGCTTTCCGTCTAGGTCCTTCATGACCTGACCTCTTCTAGAATTGTTTTCCCCTACATGCAAATACTCCTGTACAACTTACAAATGAAACTACATCTTTTCTTGATATGCTTTAATTTTCCTGTTCATGATCTTCTGTCTGTTCAGAATGCTTCTTTCATCTCTTTCTGTTGAAAGTCTATTGATTTTTCAAAGTATCAGATGAAATCTTTCTTGGACACTCCATAAGTGATCTTTTGTGTTCTTACACCTCTTTGTTTGAGTGGAGATAGACGATACTTTTCCTCTGGGACACCCCTCCACCCACTCCGCCACAAGCCTTGTGATCTTCTCCGACCCCCAAAACTGCTAGGGCCAAATTCCATACAATATACCCCGAGGAAGGCACACCTGTGCAGAATGCAGAGAATAAACACACCAGGCCTTGGCTTTTGAGTTGCAGAAATCAAGGATGTGGACTTACAAGAACCTGGACTTTTGAGTTTACATTTTATACAATAAATAATGGATTTGGAAGAATAGATTGAAAACTGGGCCTTCTTACCCCAGATGAGATAAGGATTAACCAGACTGGGGGAAAGGAGAGTTGGAGGGAATATGATGAGGGAGAGAAGCTTGTGGTGTTCAGGATGAGAGAACCAGGCCTGGAGGGACCACTCAGACAGTATGAGAGAACCAGGCCTGGAGGGACCACTCAGACAGAAGAATCAGCCTCCAGGGATCATGCAGGCTTTGCTCTGCTGGGCACTGGCTGGCACTGGCAGCCAGAGTGGTGCCCACAAGCCCCCCAGGATCCCTCCCAGCAAGTCTCCATCCCACTACCCCATCACTGGTGTCCAGGAGCCACAGCAACCACGCTTCCTGTTGGACCATCACCATCAGGAACAACTCCTATCAGTGCCCAAAGACTGAGTAGTCTCTGTCTATATTGCTCATGTGGACAACTTCCTTTCCAACAGCCAAGGACTCTACTGTGGAGTCTACTCTTAAGCCTCAAGATAAAGTGGGCTCCAGACATCCAGAAGACTACTGGTGATGTGAACTTCTCTCCCACATCATGTTTCTATTTCTGGGACTTTGCATGAAAATAGTTTAAAATCTCCCTCTTGTAGAAATACACTTTATAATCTATTGGCATTAGATTGTAGGTATTTCTTATGCTATGTGTCTCCTGTTTGCTTCTCTAGATGTCCTCTCTACTCTCCACTCTGCTCTCTTCCCCAGAGTCTTATCAGTGTGGGCTTTAGGCTTTGGGCCTCCTGTTAGGCTCAGTCAGTGAGAAGCCCTGGCAGGAGACTGGGGTGGGGGTGAGTTAAGGGCCTTTATTCCCTGGCTGCCTCCTTGCTGGATAGTCCCCTCTGACTGTTCCTCTCAAGCGAGCTGTCCCTGAACTCTTCTCTCCTTCAGAGTTCCTGTAACCTTGTCTTGTTCCTTCCAAATGGAGATGGTGACAATTTCTATGTTATCAGCAGCCTTGGGATACTGTGTCAGTCCATTCTTGCACTGCTATAAAGAACTACTTGAGATTGGGTAGTTTATAAAGAAAAGAAGTTTAGTCAACTCACAGTTCCACAGGCTGTACAGGAAGCATGGCTGGGAGGCCTCAGGAAACTTACAATCATGGCAGAAGGCCAAGGGGAAGCAGATACATCCTACATGGCTGGAGCAGGAGGAAAGTGGGGGGAGCTGCCACATACTTGCAAACAACCACATGTCATGAGAACTCACTCACTATCATGAGAACAGCAAGGGGGAAATCTACCCCCATGAGCCGAGCACCTCCCACCAGTCCCCACCTCCAACACGGGGGATTTCAATTTGACATGAGATTTGGGCAGAGACACAAATCCAAACCATATCAGAAACTGTATCTCTTGTTTCTCTCCACTCTGCTTATATCTTCATAACTAGTGCTTTCATTAACCTTTCCCTGAAATATCCTAATTCAAATGTGACTTCTGTTTTCTGCTGGAAACCTGTTGCAGACTATATTTACCAATGATGGTTACAATATCCCCCATCCTATAGCTCTGCTTACAGTGTGACTGGGACAATTCACCCTCAAGAGGAAGTGATGGCTGGGCGCGGTGGCTCATGCTTGCAATCCCAACACTTGGGGAGACTGAGGCCAGTGGATCACTTGTGCTCAAGAGTTTGAAATCAGCCATGGCCAACATGGTGAAACCCCGTCTCTACTAAAAATACAAAAATTAGCTGGGCGTGGTGGCATGCACCTGTAGTCCCAGCTACTCAGGAGAGTGAGGTGAGAGGATTGCTTGAACCCAGGGGGCAGAGGTTGCAGTGAGCCGAGATCATGCCACTGCACTCCAGCCTGGGTGACAGAGCGAGACTCTGTCTCAATTAAAAATAAATAAATAAATAAAATAAGAAAAGTTCAGACACTGTGACTTCTGAACTAGTCATAAACAATGAAGGGTGAACCGTCATGAAAACACTTGACTTGAGACCGCCATACTCTGAGGAAGCTCAAGTGAGCCCATGCGGAGAGACCACATGAAGAGAGGGATTCCTGGGAGGCTCAGGCTGCTTCAGCATCTCTATCTGACTGTGACTACAGGCGAGACCAGAGCCAGAATTACCCAGCTGAGCCTTTCTTAAAATCCTCTTCCACAGATACTATGAAAGATACTAACGCGATGGTTGGTATTTTAAGCTGCTGAAATTGGAGTGATTTGTTAGGGAGCAGTAGGTTACTAGGATAGACCCTGACTGATGCGTTACAAACATCTGGAGATGTGCAGCTAAAGACGCAAACAGAGGCCAGGAGCAGCGGCTCACGCTTGTAATCCCAGCACTTTGGGAGGCTGAGGCAGGCAGATTGCTTGAGCTCAGGAGTTTGAGACCAGCCTGGGCAACATGGCAAAACCCTGTCTCTACGAAAAATATAAAAATTAAGCAGGTGCGGTGGTGCATGCCTGTAATCACAGCTACTCAGGAGACTGAGGCAGGAGGATCGTTTGAGTCCAGGAGGCGGACGTTGCAGTGAGCCGAGATAGCGCTACTGTACTCCAACCTGGGCAACAGAATGAGACACTGTCTTAAAATAATAATAATAAGTCAAACAGAAGATGTCCCTTCTAGGCTGGGAGTTTCCTGAGTGAAGGAATCGTGCCTTCTCATATTCCTATAGTGGCTATCACACAACAGTCCATTCAGAAGGATTTGTAAACAGGTTCAACAGACGTGGCTAATTTGAGTTTTCATCCTCAAGGAAGATTTGGGTGTTCCGCTCACTTGAGAAGTGAGGCACAATAGCAAAGACTTGGAAGCAACCCAAATGTCCAACAATGATAGACTGGATTAAGAAAATGTACATATACACCATGGAATACTATGCAGCCATAAAAATGATGAGTTCATGTCCTTTGTAGGGACATGGATGAAACTGGAAATCATCATTCTCAGTAAACTATCGCAAGAACAAAAAACCAAACACCGCATATTCTCACTCATAGGTGGGAATTGAACAATGAGAACACATGGACACAGGAAGGGGAACATCACACTCTGGGGACTGTTGTGGGGTGGGGGGAGCAGGGAGGGATAGCTTTAGGAGATATACCTAATGCAAAATGACGAGTTAATGGGTGCAGCACACCAGCATGGCACATGTATACATATGTAACTAACCTGCACATTGTGCACATGTACCCTAAAACTTAAAGTATAATAATAATAAAATTAAAAAAAAAAAAGGGAGAAGTGAGGCAACAAAGAACATGGCATCAACAGCCGCAAGAAGGACAGACGGTGGTTTCTACTTCTCGCCCTCACAAGTGTACCTCTTTGAACCCCAGTGACCAAGAGCACACGTCCCTCAGGTTTAAGACATTCTTTTAAAATAACATTTGCCTTAAGAAGCCAAACACTAATAGTGCCAAAATGAGATTATGGACTTTCCCGGAGACTTATCTAAAGGCCCACACTAAATGTGGCCTCCCTGTTTTCCCTCATTTGTGTGTGTTTTGTCAGTTCAAGGCCAGAGAAAGAACTGTCCCAACTGGAAATAGAGTTAGATGTGGGGAAAGAGGCCACTGCTTGGATAACATTCCTGAGATGATGGGTTTGGAAACTGGGTGTGCCAAAAATTTCCTGGAAAGTTTATTTTTGCTGAGTTTTAAGCCTGACTTCAGACCATTAGAGCTCTTGGATAATGCCAGTTTGTTCAAACACGTAGAGAGCCAGCTGTCCCTGGAAATGAGGTTATCTCTTGCCAACTGAGAGTTCTCTGGTCTGGCTCGCCTATGTGCTTAAACACTTAACTTTTAAAGCAAATCGTAAGTAAAGGTCAGAGAGATTCCGCGTTGCCCAGATGCAGGGCTGATAGGAATTCGTCTAGACCGGTGCCTTTCCCGGGGGACCCTGTGAACATACAGATTCTGACTCAGGCTGCCTGGAAGAGGACTGAGATTCTGCAGTTCTCAACAACTCCAGGTGCAGCAAGGCTGGTGTGTTTTGAGGAGCACCCAGCTAGAGGGCCAGGTTTACTCATCCTGGGGAGGTCTCTGTCGAACCCACCTCCATTGGGCAGTCTTCCCGTTGGGTCCTAAAAGGTTTTTGTGGTTTCAAGAATCTTTGAGTAAAATGAAAACGCCCTTGGGCTGGGGCAGGGTGCACGAAGTGTCTCCATCTGAATTTTGGCAGCAAATATGTCATTACTATTGTTAAAGAAAGAAATTTATTCAAACACTTGTTCAAGATGCTAAGGTCAACTTTCTTCAAGGGGAGCCGTGGAGACAAGGGGTGCAGGGACTTCAGCAACGGGGTCTTGCAGCTGGGGAGAGAGGTGGGACTCAACTCCAGCTGCAACGAGGACAGGTGGAGACTTCTAACCAAGAAGCAGGGTGGGGGTCAATGGATGGGAAATTACTAAGAGGAAATATCACAGATAAGGGGTTTCTGGCTGACTTGACTTAACAGGAGTCTTGCTGAAGGCCGGCCAGGGTGATGAGATACCAAAAGTGGGAGACTTTTGCTAAACTGACTTGGCAGGATTCTTGCTCAGACTGGCTTCTATAAGGACAGGGAAGGAAGCCAAGGTAGGGCCTAGTCAAGCAGAGGACCCAGAGGAGCCCAGCTAAAGTTCTGGTCGAAGGAGACCCATCATCACTATTTAAAATACAAGTTAGACCGGGAGCGGTGCTCATGCCTGTAATCCCAGCACTTTGGGAGGCTGAGGCGGGTGGATCACCTGAGGTCAGGAGTTCAAGCCCAGCCTGGCACACATGGTGAAACCCCGTCTCTACTAAAAATACTAAAATTAGCAGGGTGTGGTGGCGCATGCCTGTAATCCCAGCTACTCAGGAAGTTGAGGCAGGAGAATCGCATGAACCCGGGAGGTGGAGGTTGCAGTGGGCCGAGATCGCGCCATTGCACTCCAGCCTGAGCAACAAGAGTGAAACTCTGTCTCAAAAAAAAAAAATAATAAATACATAAAAATAAAAAATAAAGTAAAAATTAACGATAATAACAACTAAACATTGAAATTCACGCCAAGCTGCATTCTAAGAGCTTGACATGTCGTATTGACTCATCCAGTCCTTACAGTACCCTGGTCCTGTTATGCCCTTCTTAGACATGAGGAAACTGAGGCACGAAAGGTTCAGCTTCAGGTCCAGGGTGATATAGCCAGCGTGGAACGGCACTGAAATTGGTGGTCAGACCTTGGAGCCACAAGTCCGTGGGAGGCCCCTGCACACAGGCGGAGGGTCAGATCCCAAGGGAGGCGGGGTGGCAGCATGGCAGGTCAACCCTTCAACCTCTTAGCATTCCCTGGGATGTCACGGCCTCAAGTTTGTCCTAAAGTGGTATTATTTTGTCCACAATAGGCCATTCATCCATGTCTTGATTGAGCACTTCCTGAATACAAAATGATGCCGCCCCAGACTCTGTGCTAGGTGCTAGGGCTGCACAGCTGGGTAAGCCACAGCCCTGCCTTCAGGGAGTTCAGAGTTCCTGGAAGAGGTTGGACTGGATCAGTGCCAGAATGACAGAAACGAAAAAACTGTAAGCACAGGCTGCTAATATCATTGCCATCTTCATGACCCCAGAACAGACCCTTTTCAAATGCTGAAGTTGCAAAGCCTCTGCCCCTATGCACTTAACCCTCTCAGTTGGCACCTTGCTGGCATCTTGGTTGACATCCCTGCGTATTCCTGTCTCTCTGTCTTTGCTTATTTGGTGTCCTCCTCCTAAAGTGCCTTCAGCCCTTTCCCTCCTGTCCTATCCCACCCTCTAGCTGCCTCCCATGACACACAGGGGTCACATGGTCTGTGCTCATCTGGGGTGACCAACTGTTCCAGTCTGCCCGGGGCTGAAGGGTTTCCTAGTATATTACATTTCTATTGCTGCATAACAAACTTGACAGCTTAGATCAACACCCATATTAGCTCACAGTTCTATATGTCAGTCAGAAGTCCAAGCGAGGCGTGGTTGGGCTTTTTGCTCAGGGTCTAAAAAGAGCCGAAATTCAGGTGTCTGCCAGGCTGAGTAAATCCGTTTTCAGGCTCACACAGGCGGTGGGCAGGATGCAGTTTCTTGCACTATATGGCTGAGGCCCCCATCTCCTTACCAGCTGTCAGCTGGAGGTCACTCCCAGCTCCGCCTGTGTGCAGGGGCCTCCCACGGACTTGTGGCTCCAAGGTCTGACCACCAATCTCAGTGCTGTTCCGCGCTGGCTATATGACCTTGGACCTGAAGCTGAACCTTCCGTGCCTCAGTTTCCTCATGTCTAAGAAGGGCATAATAGGACCAGGGTACTGTAAGCACTGGATGAGGTCAACCACATTCCGTGCTGTGTGACCCCCTCCATTTTCAAAGCCGTGTGGAATCAGACTTCAAATCTCTCTGCCTTATGTCTCTGACCTCTAGACCCAGGTTTAAAAGACTCATCTGATAAAGTCAGGCCCACCTGGCTAATCCCCCTATCTTAAAGTCAACTTAGTTACATCTGTAAACTCCCTTCATAATAACACCTAGATTTAAGGTTTGATTCAATAACTGGAGAAGGTGTATGTGCAGTAGGGAATTTGGAGAGTCATCCTAGAATTCCGCCTCCCATACCTGGCATACGGGACTCTGGATGCTAAAGCTGGGACGGTCTGAGGCACACACTGGGGCAATGGGTCACCTTGTTAGTAAGCTCTGTAAGGGTAGGATTGGTTATTCTTGGTTATTCTTGGTTATTCTCTTACCCACTTTTTTTTTTTTTTGAGATGGAGTTTTGCTATTGTTGCCCAGGCTAGAGTGCAGTGGCGCGATCTTGGCTCGCTGCATCCTCCTCCTCCTGGGCTCAAGTGATTCTCCCACCTCAGCCTCCTGAGTAGCTGGGATTACAGGTGCCCACTGTCACGCCCAGCTAATTTTTGTATTTTTAATAGAGATGGGGTTTCACCATGTTGGCCAGGCTGGTCTTGAACTCCTGACCTCGTGATCCGCCCTCCTCGGCCTCTCAAAGTCCTGGGATCACAGGCGTGAGCCACCACACCCAGCCTCCTCTCCACTTCTGATCATAACCCACAACTCTGCACACACCGGGTTCTTGGTAAGATGCACTATTTGTCGGAGGACATACCTCAGCACCTTGTAGCATCAGGACAAGTGGGACATGGTGACAAATAGCATGGATGCAAGGCAGACAAAACGGGATTTAAATTCTAACTTCCTGGCTTTGTGATCTTTGACTCAACAACTGAACTAACTCTCTGAGCCTTGTAAGTTTTTTTCTTCTATAAAATCAGGACAGTAACAATACTCACCCAATAAAGTTGCTATTTTATTAGAATTAAATGAAACCATATACATTAAGCATTGGATTCAAGGTCTGGTAGACTGTAAGCACTCAGTGAAGCCAGCTGTAATATTATTACTATTGTTATTATTATTTTTTAATCTGGAGATGGAGTTTTGCTATTGTCACCAGGCTGGAGTGCAATGGCACGATCTCGGCTCACTGCAACCTCCGCCTCCCAGGTTCAGGAGATTCTCCTGCCTCAGCCTCCCAAATAGCTGGGATTACACGCATGCACCACCAGGCCCAGCTAATTTTTGTATTATTAATAGAGACTGGGTTTCCCCATGTTAGCCAGGCTGGTCTTGAACTCCTAACCTCAGATGATCCACCCGCTCCAGCCTCCCAAAGTGCTGGGATTACAGCATGAGCCACGGCGCCTGGCCAATACTATTATTATTAACCACACCAGAGCCAGTTGAGTGCTGGAAACCGGTACCGCCTGCAGTGCCATCTCTGGGGCAAGAGGCAGGGAAAGGGCTGGTTGCTCATTCATCGCGCCTCAGCGCTTTGAGAAAAAGAAGGGTTTTCCTGCAGTGACGTCCTGACCAACCTAGGTAACTGAGCTCTACTTTGAAAATTCCTCTGGTAATTTAGTGCAAGAAACACATCTTCCTTCAATTTAAAACTTTTGGGTGGTATAGCAGTACAGATGTTAAATATTTTCTGTGTATGACTCCAGAGGGTAGGGGATGGGTCGCTAATTCTGAATCCTTTGAACATCTTAGGGTCTCTCTGGATGAAAGGTGCATGTTGAATGTGGCATTTTATGAAATTAAAAGAAAATAATTTTTTACTAAAACAGCTGTGGGATCTCTGCAGACCAGAGGGATGTCTCGAAGCAGTCTGTGTACCTCAGAGCACAGGGCCTTTTGGAAAACATCTGGAAACTGCACATCCAACTTCATACACAGCAAATCAAGTATGAAGTTGTTTATTGAGGAATTCCTCAATTTCAGGGCATTTCATTGCAAAAAAAAAAAAGAAGGCCTTCTTCTAGTGCAAACTTGTGCCATCAAAAGTGTACTAGCAGGGTTTTATTGTTTCAATTAAAATAATTTCAACTTGAAATGATTCTTTACAAAACAAGGCACAGACACAAACAAAAGACCTCCAAACTTCCCCTTCTCCTCTTCCTCCTCCTAAAGTACACAGCTTTAGCCTTAAAGCAGGATTTACTGCCTTTGTCCGGAATCCAGCCAACCAGGTGGTCACACAATCAGCAAACCAATAACAATTACAGACATTACAATTTTCTACTTGGCTGCCATAAACAAACACTGAGCAATGGGGCAGAGAACGCCTGGAACATCAGCAACTTGAATAGAAAAGGAAGACAAACAGAACCGTGTCCCAGGATTGAGACCAGGCCTCAGGCAGCTCTAGAGCTAAAAACAAAGCAGTGGCGGCTTCTTCCTCTCCTCCTCCTCCTCCCTTCAACACAAGTGTTCCAATGAAGGATCTCCTACTACCTAAGCTTAGTGGAGCTTAGCAAACTGTAACAGGTCCAAACAGGGACTATTGTGACCTCCACAATAAATCACTTTAGGGAATTGTCAGGGAGATAGACTTCCCTCACTCTCTGCCCCTGTTACCCTTCCTGTAGAAATTTAAGGAGTTAAAGTTGAGGGGAAATTAAAGGGAAAAAAAAGGCCTTTTTCATTTCATTTATTTATGTAGATAGTATTTCCTATCAGGAGTGTTACTTTTTGAAATATTTCTGAAATCTCTGAGCCGCGCTGCCCTCCTTTTACACGTCATTTCAAAGAAAGCTCTATCCCCAAATGACTTTGATGTAATTTATAGTTATATCTTTTTTTAGTGATTGTCCCCGGCTTTCCTGGGCCAGAAAGGGCTGCAGAGGTCATTTAAGTCCAGGGATTACTTAATGGCTGGTTATCAGCAGCAGCCTGGAGGTTCCTGGACCTATGGAATCAGAATCAGGAGGTTGACCCAGAAAATGTACTTAACTGTCCCCACCTCCTTCTCCTGCTTGGTGAATCTCTTATAGCACATTGATGCGTCTATATCTGGGAACCAAAGGGGGTCTACATTATATTATCTATATCATCCCTAATTTATAGATATGAAAACTGAGCTCCAGAAAGAGGATGTCATCTGCCCAAGGTCACCCAATAAATTAGTGGAAGGGGCCTCCTGACTCCCAGTTCAAGACTAGTCAGTGCAAACTTGTGCCATCAAAACTATACCAGTGGGGTTTTATTGTTTTAATTAAAAATAATTTCAACTTGAAACGATTCTTTACAAAACAAGGCATAGACACAAATGCACGGGCTTTCCCCTGAAAAGGTCTCCTCTTTGGCCCACTGAGGGACTGGGACAATTCCTAGCCACGGGGTGAAAGCAGTTCCACCTCACGGGCTGCTGATCATGGTGATTCTGACTCCAGGGCCCAGGAGTGGTCCCTAGTGATGGGAATGCCAGCACACTTTGAATTTACAGGGAAGTTGCCTCTTCTAGTGACCACATTCACAGTTCAGTGGCCTCACTTGGAAGAAACTCTGTTCCTTGCCCAACTTGCTCCATCTGGCTCAGTCCTCCAGGCCATGTCTTTTGTCTAAGACCCATTGTTATACCTAAATTTGAGATTCAAGGTAGCAATGATATCATTACTGGTGGGCTTTTTCTTCTTTCTTTTAAAGAAAAGATAGCAGTTATTTCCTTTAGCCACTAACCTTTATAATATTTTTATTCCCTGGAACTTAATGAGCATCTATAGAGCCAAGCTGTGGAGTTGTGAGGCTCGATGCAAACACCACCTCTGCACAGGAAACACCTCCTGTTCCTCTAGCTAGGGCACCTGTTGGGAGCATCAGCTGAGGGCAGGTATATCTCTTAGACTTATGCCTCTTTCCTCACTAAAAAAGAAAGAAAACAGGCCAGGCACTGTGGCTCACGCCTGTAATCTCAGCACTTTGGGAGGCCAAGGCGGGAGGATCACTTGAGGTCAGGAGTTTGAGACCAGCCTGACCAACACGGTAAAACATCATCTCTACGAAAAGCATAAAAATTTGCCCAGTGTGGTGGTGGGTGCCTGTAATCCCAGCTACTCGGGAGGCTGAGGCAGGACAATTGCTTGAACCCGGGAGGTGGAGGTTGCAGTGAGCTGAGATCGTGCCACCGCACTTCAGCCTGGGTGACAGAGCAAGACTGTCTCAAACAAACAAACAAACAAACAAAAAAGAAAGAAAACAGTTGTTGCTCAATCTGTGATCATTCTCTAGGTTTGTCGCTGTAGTCTGCAGTGGGGGAGGAGAACAGTTTTCGACTCTAAAATTCACATAGAATAGTTTGTTCATAATTTAAAAAAACAATGACTCTACTTAGTACTGTTTCCTGTTTCTTCTCTTCTTCCCTTCTCTTTTTTCTCTTCTTTTTTTCCTTTTCTTTCCTTTCTCCTTCTCAGCTTTTTTGTTTTTTCTCATCCTGCATGTTGTTGTTCTCCCCCTTCTTCTCACCAATATCATCATCATCATTTCCTAACTCCGCATCCTGACGCATGCGAGGAGGACGAGGAAGAGAAGGGGGGAGCAGGAGGAAGAAGAAGAGCAGGGGGAGGAGGAGGAAGGAAGAGCAGAAGGAGGAGGGAGAGGAGGAGGAAGAAGAAGAGCAGAAGTAGGAGGGGAAGTTGGTGAATTAATGAATACAAGAGTGTAATTATATGACTGTCACAGCTCAGGTTAGGCCCCTGGCTGGAGATCTGGGATGGTGTAATCCACGACTTACATTGCTTATGCAGTGGGCTCTTTCCCGGAATTCCCTCCTGCCACATTCCATTTGATGTGGGGAAGCTAAGTGAATATTACAGCGCATTTTGAGAAGACAGTGAATTAGGTGGTCTCAGTGTTGAGCGAAAATTCTCTTTTCCCTCTCTGATCACACAATCTCAGGAACTGTTTTTTATTCCTACACTAAATGGATCTCAGCTGCAGTTTAAGAGGCCTGAACATACCTGTAGCAGCTAAAAGAAAGCCCACCAACTTCTACCTCAAACCAATTCTTTATCCCAGTAACTTTTTTTAAGCACCACAATTTTGTAACCTGTTGGTCATCCTCCAGTGAGTGCCGTGCCGAGCCACTTTAGAGACTGAGGCCAAAAAGGAAAATGCCCAGTCACAGTTTCTGTCTTTATGTGAATTTTTAGTATTTCATACATCATAAATGTTTGGATTCCTTTTTATTTTAAAAAATATTGCATTGAAATATTATGTATCTTGATTACTGAGTTTTTCGACATCCCCTTAAATTTTGCACCCTGGTCTTGGCTTTGTTGAAACCCCTCTCAATACTCCCAATGCAGTTTAGGTGGTGACCAAGCCCTAAGCCCTGCCGATCGCACCCTGTGACTCTCTGCCCGTCTCCCTTTCTGGTCAGCACCATAGCAACCGCCTCCTAACTTGTCTTCCTGCTTCCATCCACTCTTATTCCCCATACATCCTTTTCCCCCAGTGAGTTAAGGGTGGCTTTCTAGAACATGGTCACCATACTGGCCAGCCAAACTGGGTGGCTCCCCCATCCCCGACCCATACCCATCCACTCTGCCCCTTCCGCCTTGGGGAGCAGCCTTGGAATCTGGGTGGGATTGACCTCATCAGCAGCTCTAGGGGAGGGCCCTGGGAGGTGTAAACCTCAGCAATGAGCTCAGGAGGGCTCCAATCCCACTGCGGCCCAGGATGTCTCTGAATAGCTGTAGGAGAGAAGATCTCTCCCGCTCACTCTGAGCTGGGCTGTGTGTGGATGACAGGCCTGGAACCACCATAGATGAGAGAGGTCAACAAAGGATGCAGGTGGCACACAGAGGAGAGGAGAGCTAAGAGAATAACCAACACAGCAGAGGACTGATGGAACGGAACCCGAAACCCCCTCTCTTCTGGACTTCTCCATTCACTAAGCCAGTGAATTGCTGGGTCACTGAAGGCTGTTGGTGCAGTCTTCCGTGGATAGACTATTATTTAACCAGCCTTCATTTTTGGGCTGTAAGCTTATTTCTGTTGTTGCTTCCTTATTTGTTATTAAACTGCTGCAATAAAAATTGTTGTACAGCTTTTGCATATGTAAATATTCGTAGAAAAACTGATGGGAAGTGGAATTCCTGGGCTGAAGGGTGTGCATAGTTTGAAAATTCATAGAAACTGCCAAATTATACTCTCAAAGGACAAACCACCACTAAGAGAGTTTGAGGGTGCTCAGCGGTGAGATAATACACATATCGGGCAATGTCTGCAGATCAGTGCAGAAGTTAGCCGTCAGCCTGAGGTGCTGAAGTAGGGTCCAAGGAGGTCCTGCTGGGCCATGTGTTAATTTTTTTTTTTTTTTTTGAGACGGAGTCTCGCTCTGTCACCCAGGCTGCAGTGCAGTGGCTAGATCTCGGCTCACTGCAAGCTCCGCCTCCCGGGTTCACGCCATTCTCCTGCCTCAGCCTCCTGAGTAGCTGGGACTACAGGCGCCTGCCACCACGCCTGGCTAATTTTTTGTATTTTTAGTAGAGACGGGGTTTCACCATGTTGGCCAGGATGGTCTCAATCTCCTGACCTTGTGATCCGCCTGCCTTGGCCTCCCAAAGTGCTGGGATTACAGGCGTGAGCCACCGCGTCCCGCCCCCAGGTGTTAGTCTTTAATAGCTGGTGGGTGAGGAGTCAGGGGTCCCAAGGGAGAGACCAAGGTGGCCAGGTCAGCAGGACGCACTGTGAGAGTTCAGGGCAGTAGCTGTTTACCAGCTGTCATGGAAGCACTTCAGTGCATTGATCTATTTTCTTCTTCCCACACCAGCAGAGGAATATGGTTCAAAATGATATGCAGCTTCCTATAGCTGTCTAGTAAGCTGTAAGTAAGTAAACAAGATTCCCTTTATTGTTCTTTTCCAAAATTCTCTTGGTTGTATTTTTAAATTTTCTCTCTCAGATAAAGTGTGTGCAAAGGCTTAGCTCTGGTTTCTAGATGGCTGGTCTCACTTTCTGCTGGAGAAGGAATATATCATTTCTTCCCGAGACAGCTCTTTGACCAGGTCTGCCAGCCATTCTTTAGGTTGTTTTTTTTCTCTTCTTCTTTTTTTTTTTTGGGGGGGGTGGGGGGGCTCTTGCTCTGTCACCCAGACTGGTATGCAGTGGCACGATCATAGCTCACTGCCTCGAACTCCTGGGGTCTATCAACCCTCTCTTTGGGACATTTTTCTAAATTAACTACTTAAACCCAAAATAAAGTGACTATGTGGAATAAAAGTCTGAGAGAATATGGCGCTAGGAGAAAATGATGGCTGGAAAGAGGAAACTCTCAACCTGCTGTATATTCCATTTTACAGAGGATCCAGCGATGTGAAGGGATGTGGGGAAGGGCATACTGAGCCTGGGTGGCAGATCGGGTGAAGGGATGTGGGGAAGGGCATACTGAGCCTGGGTGGCAGATCGGGTGAAGGGATATGGGGAAGGGCATACTGAGCCTGGGTGGCAGATCGGGAAACAAAGGTCAGGGCTGCCAACTACCCACCCAGAGCTGCTTCCCCCATGCTCGCCTGCTCCAGGCCAGGCAACCTCAGTGTTGCAGTTGCTTTTGTGGATGGATCCAGCCTTTGACATCTTTCAGGGCACACTTATGCCAACGATTTCCTATTTCCTGCCTGCTCGCAAAACTACTAAAGGGAGATGAAGTGGCGTTAGAAATGTGCGTGAATTTTTGCAGCCAGCGTCCTAAGCACTCCTGGAGGGGCTGTTCTTCTGAAGAGCATCCCCCTTCCCCTGCTGTATTTTCTTCATACCACATATCATCATCTGAAATATTATTTATTCATACCACATACCATCATCTGAAATATTATTTATTATGGTTATTTAATGTGCACCCCCTCCCCTGAGGAGTTCCGTTAGGGCAGGGACTTGGTTTTGTTTGTGACTGTATCCCTCCATGCCTGGAACAATGCCTGGCACACAGTAGCTTCTCCATGAATGTTTGCTGAGTGACTGGATGCATTGGATCCTCTCGTGGGTTTGTAGCCTGTTTCTCCAGGGAGATGAGGAAGTTGGCGCCACTGAATGCCAAAGCCTTTTTTGTAGGTGCCAATCAGGACAGAAATCAGGCGGGGGACAAATAGAGACCGAGAGTCTCAGAAGTCTTGGCACCAGGGCACAAGGACCTCAACCAAATTGCCTTCGAGAATGTAAACAATTCTTTTTATCATTCACTGGGTTTTTTGCCAAAACTTTCAAATGCTGAGGAGGCATGAAAAGTAGCAAGATTGTTTATGATCTTTGGTCTTTTTTTTTTTGCTTGTTTTTTTTAACCTTGAAGCTGAGTGAACAAAAACAACGAGGATCCACCTAGAAGGATGTTGAAAGTTGTATCTGGTAGCTTCAGCTAAGTTCATCAGGCCGTTTAGCAGTGAAAGAGAAAAGATATCATGGAGTGGGATCAAGTGTGGATTTACTGAGGGTTGACCAAGTTCAGGGGGTATCTGAAACACAGGGCTTGCCATCCTCTTCTCAGGACCAGGAAAAAGTCACTACAAATACCTCATCACTTCATGAATCCTTGGTCTCCTCATCTGTAAAATGGGGTGACAAAGACCTACTTTGCAGTGTTTGAGGATGAAAGGAGCTGGTGAGTTGAACGAATGTGCTCTGTAGATGGTCAGACGTGCAAATGCATTATTGTTTTCATTGTAAAAGGATTTGAATTTGAATTCTGCGTGGTCAAGGTGGCATATCTAAGTGGCAGAGTAATTGATTGAGATATTAATTTAGAATTCTATTGTTAGGTATTTGGGTTTCCTTGTCTCAGGATTCCTTGATAGGACGGAAAGCAGGAGTTCCTCAAAACCCTTCTCTCTTACATTCTGGCCTTGCTTTAGAGAAGATTATGCTAACCAGGAAAGGAGGCAGTGAGAGAGGCTGGGACACAGAAGGAGATTTGGGTGCAGGGAGGGAAAAGTGGGCTGGAGACGTCCTTCCAGACTTCAGAGAGGAACAGTGCGGGGATCCCAGGCCTTACTCTCTTCCCTCCCAGGGTTGCAGGGGTGGACGCAGAATCTGGGGAGGGAGAGGCTGCTGACCCTATCCTTGCAGAGGCCACAGCCCAGGAGCAGAGGAGCTGCTGGCCGGCAGAGGCCCTGGGGTATGGTGAGGAGGTCATTGTGCTGGTGGGGACTGAAAACCAGAGCCTCTCTTAAGGCTGCTCCACTTCCACACCTTGGTCCCTTCCACCGCACAATGTAGGTGATGCTGCTTCCAGGATGGGCCCTAGTCACTAATGACCGAATTAGTCAATTTCTTCACCCACCCAGTGAACTGGAGACTCCTCAGCAGAATTAATTTTTTTAAAGAAAAATCATGTGGCATTTCTTTCATGCCAAGTTTGTGAAATAAAGCCCATACCTGCTCCACACAGAACACACTATTTAATAAACGCCCTTGGGCAAAAGTGTCAGTAGCAATTCCTGGAAGAGACATGTCCTGAAAGAACTAGTAGAAACCAGGAAATCGCTGTCCTATTTTTGTCTCTGACACTAACAAGCTCTCTGTGACCTTAAGTAAGTCCCTTCCTCCATCTGTGCCTTCCATTTATTTATTGGTCGTATGAAGATATACTGGACTAAATTCCTGGTTCATGTTACTACACATTTAGAATGGATTTGGGAAACAGGAAATAGTTATGAAACCATATTCTCAACCAAGGATATGGTTTTAGACGCCGTTCCAGTCATGTTAATTTCCACCTCAAAAACAATGGATTTTTGATAAAGCAGAGTTTCTGCAACTGCAGAAGACAACTCGAATAAATGTGACACTATGATTGTCACCTGCTGAAGCAACACTTGTTCATGCACTCGTGGTCTCTGTTGGGATTTTGGTCTTGGTGGCAATACATACTTCTTGGGATTTTTATTTTAAAAAGAAAAGCGCCTTTGGAAAAAAAAAATCCTTCCATAAGGAGCTCATCTTTCACCAGGGCTGGAAGAGTGTAAACAGGACTGCGTGAGGTTCCGTGTTTATGTTTTCTCAATGACTTCCAGATCAAATTTGCTGTGTTTACAAGTTGGAGACACTTTTTCTAACTGCCGGCATTGCAACTCAAACGGGGGTCCGGCCGCCCAGCTGGGCTGGCTCTGCTTCGAGTTATCCCGCACCTCTGACAACAGCTCCACGGTGCCCCAGCAGGAAAAGCGCTTAGCTCAGCAGCCGCCTGCAGACACCGGCTTTTCATACTTAAATCAAAACAAGATGCCAGGTTATTATTATTATTATTTTAAACTTTAAGCCTTAGGTCCAGAGGTAGAACGTGGACTGCAGAGGTGATCTTTTCTTCCCCTTCATGCTTGACAATTGCTTTAATTTTTCCCTATGCTTCCAAGAGTTCTTACCTCATCCAGACCCCGTGAATCTCACTTTGAAGTTTCTCTTAATTCCTTTCAATCATGAGCCCTGTGAACCGCATGCCCAGAAGCCTCTGCCTGCCATGGATTTTGCAGGTCACCTGTTGAGGTACCCATTGGTGCTCCACAAAACTTGAAATACAAAGCTCTTGACTCTTTTCCCCCTTTTAAAACACATATCCCTTTATAAAACAGCCGTTTTACTTAAATCCCTTTGTGCTAGATGTTTTATGCGTCTAAGAGATGGTACTTTGACCATGAAGCTGTCATCCCAACCAGCTGTCAGCAATATCTTTTCTTTTCTTTTCTTTTCTTTTTTTTTTTTTTTGACACGGAGTCTTGCTCTGTCGCCCAGGCTGGAGTGCAGTGGCGCGATCTCGTCTCACTGCAAGCTCTGCCTCCCGGGTTCACGCCATTCTCCTGCCTCAGCCTCCCGAGTAGCTGGGACTACAGGCGCCCACCACCATGTCCGGCTAATTTTTGGTATTTTTAGTAGAGACGGGGTTTCATCGTGTTAGCCAGGATGGTCTCGATCTTCCGACCTCGTGACCCGCCTGCCTCGGCCTCCCAAAGTGCTGGGATTACAGGCGTGAGCCCCCGCGCCCGGCCCGTCAGCAATATCCTTGCAGCGTTTTCTGCGGTGGACGACGGAGTGCACGGGCTCGTTGCTCACTGTCTGCCGTGCTCCCAGGGAGCCCCCAGCATGGAGAGGAAGGAGTGTCCTTGGCTGCAGCAGCCTGAGTTCCCACCACCAGCGCTGACTGGCCCTGTGACCTTGGCTGAGTCTCCGGTTCTCTGAGGCCCAATTTTCTTCTCTGCCTTCTTGCCTCACAGGGATAAGTCGCGGTCCCATGCGACACAGCAGGGGTGAAAAGACTTTGTACCTGGTAAGGCCCCGTGGGAGGAAAAAGTTCCAAGATCATCAGGCTCAAGGTTCTTGAGAATGGGACCAATGGGGATCAGGGATGCCGTCTGCGGCTATGAAATCCCTGAAACGCGGGCATGAAGTGTTCGGTGTCTCTACAGCACCCCCTTTTTGTGGACTGTTATGACTGTGGCATGCTACTTTCCTCTCTGGGGCTCCAGGTGTCCCTCCGTCAACTGGGAGGGCTGCACTTGGCGGTGTTTAAGGAGCCTTCCAGCTCCAATGTGCTGTGATTCTGCTCCATGCTTCTCAGGCTGGGACATAGGGCAATGCGATGGGATCGGAGGGGAGAAAAAACGAATATTTAGAAACCTCAATTGAAGGGTTTTTTGGGGGGGGAAATAAACAAGCAAATGAAAACTTTATTACCAGGAAACTCAGATCTTAATCAATTTCAGGCTGGGTACGGTGACTCACACCTATAATCCCAGCACTTTGGGACGCCATGGTGGGTGGATCACTTGAGCTCAAGAGTTTGAGAACAGCCTGGGCAATATGGTGAAACTCCATCTCTTAAAAAAAAAATTAGCTGGGCATGATGGCATTCACCTGTAGTCCCTGCTACTTGGGAGGCTGAGGCAGGAGTGTTGCATTAGGCCGGGAGGTTGAGGCTGCAGTGAGCCAAAATGGCACCACTGCACTCCAGCCTGGATGGCAGAGTGAGTCCCTGCCCTGTCTCGAAAAAAAAAAAAAAATTAAAAAATTAATTTCAGTGACCGTTCTTATTAGAGGTTTAAATTTTACCCAAATTATGTATTCTTTGGCCACCCCCTCACAGACAGATCACACACATACACATGTGCATGCATCATATGTACATTCTTATTTCCCCTAGCTTTCTTTCTTCATCTCTTCTGTTTTGGTTACAAGTGTCTTTTTACTTTGCTCTTTTTTTTAGAGACAGGGTCTCTCTCTGCTGTGCAGGCTGAAGTGCAGTGATGTGGTCACGGCTCACTGCAGCATCAACCTCTTGGACTCAAGCGATCCTCTCGTGTTGGCTGCCTGAGTAACTAGGACTACAGGTACGTATCATCATGCCCAGCTCATTCTTAAAAATTTTTTGTAGAGATAGGGTCTTGCTATGTTGCCCAGGTTTGTCTTGAAGTCCTGCCCTCAAGCCATCCTCCCTCCTTGGCCTCCCAAAACACTGGGATGTACTGTGGCTGTACACATTGTCTTAGTATAAGCTATTTAAAAATTTTTTGAAATTGGGTAAGTGAAAATATTTTATTTTTATAAGAAAAAAAGATTCATAAAGAAAGTGGACTGTGTTCCTTTGTATTTTCAATACTGTGGTCTTGTTCCTATAACTTACAGCACAGGGAGCTCTATTGGCTGTTAATCAAACAAAGCCTTGACCTAGTCTGGAGAAGTTGTCATAGTCCTGGCTCTGATGTTGCTTGCTGTGTGACCTTGGAATTGTCACTTTCCCTCTCTGAATCACAGCCACCTCATTTGGAAAATAAAGAGGTTGGACCAGATGATCTCTGAGGTGTCTTTCAAGCTTTTTTTTTTTTTTTTGAGACAGAGTCTCGCTGTCTCCCAGGCTGGAGTGCAGTGGTGTGATCTCAGCTCACTGCAAGCTCTGCCTCCTGGGTTCATGCCATTCTCCTGCCTTAGCCTCCCGAGTAGCTGGGACTACAGGCGCCCGCCACCACGCCTGGCTAATTTTTTGTATTTTTAGTAGAGACAGGGTTTCACCATGTTGGCCAGGCTGGTCTCGAACTCCTGACCTCAAGTGATCTGCCCGCCTCGGCCTCCCAAAGTGCTGGGATTACAGGCATGAGCCACCATCCCTGGCATCTTTCAAACTTAAAGATCTCCATATAGGTGACTCACCTTAATAAAACCCAACATGTGAAATGATTAATAAATAAAATCTACCTTCCCCAAACACCTTTTTACTGATAAAGCAGGCTAATAAAGGTAAAACAGCTTGCAATGTAAAAAATAATTTTAAAAGTAGCTGCTTCGTTTTAGAAATGAATTGATTTATATGTAGCGTGACAAATTCTCTCATACCTCTAACTGAAAAAAGTTTGTCTAGTCGGACATTTCAGTGACGGTTCTTTATCCTTAGCAGCTGATCCTGCCACATCCATCAGATAAATTCCCAAGAAATATCCTCATAATGTTCAGCTGAAATCTCTAATGGGTACGATCAAATCAGGCTTAATGTTAGCTCTGGTGAGCAGTCACGTTGAAAGTATGTGTTGCTTTCTCATTATCATTTTATTTCTACCATTAGCCACATTCAAAAATATAAATCACTCCTAATATCTTTCAGAATGAAGGTTAACTATGTCACCTCAGAGCTGACCCTCATCACAAGTGACAATGTGAGGCATTATGGGAGGAATAGGAAACACGGTGCCAAAGGGTCATGTGTGGTGTGACCTTGGGTAAGTCACTTCCCCTCTCATGGCCTCAGTGTCCTTATATGTAATTGTGGGGTTGTTAGAGTAGGTAGTTAGGCAGACATGAGCAGGGCAGGACAGGCCCCCCCTCCACCCCCAGGAATGTCAGGTGACTATCAGGTGACGATGAGGTGGTTCTTAAACTCTCAAAAATAATAATTGTCCACAGCCAGCACCAGGGAAAGGCAGTCTCCCAATAGATAGAAAATACCTGAGGCTGATGAACAGCAGCTTCCGGATAAGATCTCCGGAGTTGTGTGAGTGGGCCCTAGCTTGCGCACTAAGAGGCACAATGGCGGAGTTTAACTGGTATATGACCTTCCTCTAGGAACGCTTGACTGGTAAGGGAAAAACACCTTAAGTGAGCACACACACAACTTCAATAAACCCACTGCACATGCCACCCCTGCCAAGTGCTGGCAGACACTGTGCATGTGGACAGCCCACCCCAAGGGAAGAATCAGGGGAGAAGAGATGTAGCCCCCAGAACCATGCCAACGTATAAAACCCCAAGTCAAGGGCCAAGCACTGTGCTTGGAACTTTCAAGTCACTGACGTGACTCTCTTCCAAGTGTACTCTACTTCCTTTCATTCCTGCTTTAAAACTTTTTAATAAATTTTCACTCCTGGTCTAAAACTTGTCATGGTCTCTCCCTCTCCCTTGTGCCCCTTAGATGAATTCTTTCCTCCGGGGAGGCGAGAATCAAGTTTGCTGTAAGCCTGTTGGATTTGCCACTGCTGACAGGGTTGGTACAGTTGTTCAGAAGGGCCCTTTGGCCCTGTTATGGGCTGGATGTTTGTGCCCCTCCCAAATTTGTATGTTGACACTTAATTGCCACTGTGATATGATGGCATTAGGAGGTGGGGTCTTTGGAAGGGATTTGTGCTGTTATAAAAGGCTGAAGAGATCAGAGTTCTCTTTTTCCACTATTTCTTGGGAATTTTTCTGATGGACGGGGCAGACACAGTGAGAAGGTACCATCTATGAACTAGAAAGCAGGCCCTTCCCAGACACTGAATCTGATGGTGCCTTGATCTTGGACTTCCCAGCCTCAAGAATTGTGAGAAATCAGTTTGTGTTATTGACATGTCACCTGCTCTGGGGCATTTGGTTATAGCAGCCCAAATAGACTTAGGCCCTGATGTGCAGGCGTGCTGACCAGTAATCCGAGCAGTCAGTAGGGCTGCTGTGCATAAGAAGATGATTCTTCAAAGCGCTTCCAAAGACTGTCCTCCCTCAGTGTTTGTAGGTGTATATTTGACTCAACTCATAACACTGTTTGGCTTTAGAAGGTGGATAATGGTTCTTCAAACCCAAGAAAATTATCATAAGGGAGAGAAGTGGGGAGTCAACAAAGGGCTCAGTGAGCATGAACTGAGATGTTCATTGTATTGGCCTCCATCTCCCTTTTCCCCTTCCTACCCAACAAAGCTTCAGCTCAAAAACACTCATTCAATGCTTCACAACGAGGACACGTTCTGTGAAATGCGTGCTTAGGCAATTCCATTGTTGTGTGAACGTCACAGAGTGTACTTACACAAACCTAGATGGTACAACTTACCACACTTGTAGGCTATGTGATCTAGCCTATTGCTCCTAGGCTACAAATCTGTATAGTATGTTACCGTATTGAGTACTGTAGGCTGTTGTAACACAGTGGTAAGTATTTGTGTATCTAAACATATTTAAACACAAAAATAGTACAGTAAAAGTGCAGTCTAAAGGATTAAGATGGGCCTGTATAGGGCAGCTCTATCATAATCCTGTGAGACCACTGTCACTTACATGGCACAAGACTGTATCTCCTGGGTCAAACTGCATTGAAATGCATTTTCCTATACCATGCTACGAGGGTGAGGACACATCTGTAGGTAGGTAGGTTTCAGGGTGCTGGGGAACAGGTGAAAAGGCTCAACCTCTCTTTAATAATCTAGAGAGGGGCTTTTGAACTTTCAGACACAGAAGTCTTTTGGAAAAATGAAGTTTAATGTGGAACTCTATAAATATATATATATATAAGTGATATTTAGCTGGCATAACTTTATTTTGTATGTTCAAATTTATAACATTTATTAACATTTCAACAGGAGGTTGTTTGTTTTGACTAACGACATTTTGAAATTGTAGAAGTGGGAGATAGTTGCTATCTTATCAGCCTCTGCATCTGATAAACATCTGCATTTGTTTTGTTGCTTCCTTTCCAGGTTGCAAATAGAAAGTTATCTGAGGGTAGCATTGCAGTCCAGGGCGCTTCTCAAGTATATGGAGAGAATAAACTTTTTGCTCTGAAGTCAGCCCTAAAATGAGTTATAGATTTCTAGGGTATTGGTTTCTCATGTCTTAATAATGCAATATAATTCAATTAGCATGCATATTATTTCTTGTTTCCTTTTAAAAAACATTTCTAACTGTATTATAAAAATATAGGCTTACTGTCATGTTTGTAGAATTTCTGAATCACTTGTGAGGGGTGTCTTTGGCCAGCGGGCATGAAGAACTGTAGGGGTCTAAGGTAGCCCTGCTGGGGGATATGGGTGAGATATGTCCTCTTCCACACAGAGGCAGTGAAAGGGCCCATGGTGCCCCACAGCGGATCATCTGTAAGCCCCATTTTAAAGCCAGCTTCTCAAGGTTCATGGTGCCCCACGGTGGATGACAAGTAAGCCCCATTTTAAAGCCAGCTTCTCAAGGTTCATGGTGCCCCATGGTGGATGACAAGTAAGCCCCATTTTAAAGCCAGCTTGTCAACATTCACTGGGTCTCTCAGTCGCCTCCCTCTGTGGCTTCTTATTTCCTTGCTGGAATCTTTTTTTTTTTTAAATATGCTTGCCTCCCCTCAGCAGGCTCCAGACCGCACCTGGAAGGTCACTGGAGCCAGCCTGTAAGAGGAAGTATCACCCTTCCCTGAGACCACCATGAAGGTGGGAGTGGTGGGCTTCAGAAGACTCCCAGGAGAAGGGGATCCTAGATACAGAAAGAGGGTTCTCCCAGTGTCCTCCCCAAACCCCCATCCCTCCGCCTTGCCAACCCTGGAGTTTCTGGGCTTTATTTTTAGTAATAAAGCCAGTATTTCCTTAATACTGCAGTCTGCCAAGTTGTACATTAGGCACCGTGGGGGCACAGAGACAAATAGGCTCCGGGCAGCCCCCAGCCTTTCACAGTCAACAGAAATTTGAGCTCCTGGGCCCTTTCAGCCAAGAGAGAAGCTGGGTTCACGGTGCTTCTCAAATGTTATTTTCAAAATGGACTTATCTCAAAGCCGATTGAGTACTAATTTATGTTTTCGATCCCAGTAAGATCTGTTGAAATGCACCCCTTCTTCCAGGCCACCCCCACCTCTGCAGTGTGAGGGAGCACGCGTCAGGGTGTCTGCTGATGACGGATGACCCAGCTTGCTCTTTGTATTGCTTGGCCGGCAGATTTTGTTCCCAGATTGTTTTGGAGTGGCCAGAAGCGGTCAGCATGTGGGATCTCCAAAATCTTGGAGACGTCAGGTCACATACTGGTAACATCATTCAACCGAAGACATTTTTAAAAAAACATAATTCTCTGATATTTGTTAGTTGAGGCTGAAGCCTTTACTTCTCAGGCAGTGAGGAATAGAATTCCAGGGAAAGTAATTTCGCATTGGAGAAAAGTAAAGAATAGAGCAATGTCTTCCCTAAGCCCAGCTACGATTTCTCCTTTCCCAAGGGTCTCTAACGGTGGAGGAGGGCTGGGAGCCCTGTTCTCTGTGTCCTTGTCTTGTAAGTGAGAGACTGGGCTATAGCGAGCAATTATCTATCTCTGAACCCACAGAAAGAGAATGGGTCTATGAGCAATTTTCAATATTTCAAAAAGCTTCATGGCAATCCTTCATTTGCCTGGATATGGGTGGCACAGTCTGATGAAGATGCCTCCTTGCTTTGCTTTTGGCTGTGTGGTAACCCTGGGGACTACCTCATGCAAACAAGAAGGTCTGCCTGGCCAAATAGAACTGTGATTCATTGCCTGGGTTTTGACAGCAGACAGATCTGGGGTCAAGCCTGTGCTCATCTGCTTCCTAGCAGAGTGGCTTTGATGGAACTACTTGATCTCTGTGAACTTCGATGCTTTCACCTGTAAAGTAAGGACAAGAATCTGAACCTCAGGGTGCTGTTGGGGTAGGTCTACGGTGAGCCTTCGATAAAAGGTAGCTGCTGTTGGGACTAGTTGTGATTAATGAAAAATGAGAAATGGAATTATTATTTAATAAAAGTAACCTATTGGTGGGCAAAGATCTTTTAAAACTTGTAGCCCAGAAGGGTTCTAGGCAGTGAAGGTTGGGACCCTCTACACCAGGCGACCCTAAATTTTTCCTTTGCAGTGGGGCTGTGGAGAGGACGTACGTGCATGATTGAAGTTTAACAGGGAAACTTTCATTTCATTTCCTTTTGCTGATTATGCATATCCTGTGGTGTCCTAAAACTCAAGCCTAGGACCATAGTTCAGGCCACATGCCCTGTGGTGACCTCCGTCTAAGCCACCTCTGTGTGCCCTAGATTGAAAACTGTTGATTGAAAAGGTCAGAACAATACCTTCTGTCATGATGGCTGCAGATCACATTCAATCGGGACAGCATTCTAGTGATTCAAAAGACACACACACACTCACACTCACACACACACACACACACACACACACACACACACACACACCCCAAACAGGGACATCAGTGACCTGCGGAGAATGGGGGAGATTTGAGGATTTACCTGGGAATGAAGGTTTCAGTCATGCTACCACCCAGTGGTGGGTGGAAGTAACCTGGTCAGTTAAGCCTGCTCCAGGATTTTGTTTGATATTCAATAATTATCTTACTGCTGCTCTTTGTTCTGGAAGCTCTTTCTTGGCAATGTGTTGAGACACATGTTTTTTCTTCTTTAAAAAAAACACACACAATACAGTGAGACTAAAACTGCTCTAAAAATTGTTTATTAAAACAAAAAAAAAATGTGTGTGTTTGTTCTGCTGACAACAGTGCCATGAAATATAAAACTTGGTGCCCAGGATTTCTTCATGCTAATATATTACATAACTTGAAGGCTTCCCTATGTATTGAACCCCTGTAGAAATTTCCGGCTGAACGTCAACCTCTTCCCCTTCCTCCCAACACACAGCTCTACCTCCCACTCACTTTGCAGTGGACTTTCTTTAGAAGGTCTCTTTTAGATTTTTCTTTTTCATCACACAGAGACGCTGCCATGAATGAAGAGTCTTTCTTCTTACAATTGAAGACTTCAGCTTCAAAAAAATGAGATAAATTCATTTTCTCCTCTCTAAGGTACTTGAAATGTAAGAGTTCATTGAAAGGGGAGGGGGAAACTCATTGTTGAAATTCATTAAGTTTTAGTCTTGACTAAAATGAAAGAAATGGAGATTAACAATTCAAAAATGGAGCTTGTTCATTAAAATTAACTACAGTTACACAGCTTGTCATGCAGTTCACGGGGAATCATTTCTCTCCTGCTTAATTATGATGATGAAAACTCAGCTTTTACTAGGATAAAATGATGTCATCCTTATCAGAAAAAAAAATTGTTTCCCAAGTCTGGCTGCAGCAGTATTTTTCTGGGATGTTTAAAAAAAAAAAGCTTCTAAAGTGATTTGTTAAGTAAAGTTGTTCTCCAGAGCTAGCTCTGTATTGATGTATGTTTGAATACGGGGGGGAAATGTCTCACATAATGAATCCAAGCTTAATAAACCAAATACCAAATGCATTTAAATTTATTACAATTAGGACTTTCGGAGTTGTAAACACCTTAACAGACACACAACTTCAAAATCATTCTGATATTACCGAACTTATATTCAAAATGCCCTGTGCTTTCGTCACATGATTTATTAGATGTGGTGATTGGCATGTTCTAGAATTTCCCCCTCCCCAAAGAAAACACATTTTTTCTTACATGGTTATTGCAGCAGTTATGTATTATAGCTACGAGTGTTATGAAGCACAGCATTACGTTTTAAGAAGCTCCTTCCCTTCCCCATGAGAGAAAGGGACTCTACAGGAAGCAGAGGAGTGGGGCAGCGTGGAGCTACAGGCTCTCATCTCTGGGATGGTTCCAGCTGTAATAAGTGAGCCCAAGACTCTAACGTAACAGGAAAACTCCACTGGCTCCAGTGATTAGGAGGGACCCCGCCCACAAGGACGCTGTTGGCCCCTGTTGCCATCTGCCTTTGGACGTGTTAGGAGGTAAAGAAAGGTCCTTTTTATGTTAAAATCTCACTACCTCTGAAACTGCCCTACAGAAATCCCATCATTCCCCTTCTCTCTCTTTTCTTGGCAACACTAAAAGTCCTTTGTAAACATCCTCCCTGAAAAGCCTCTGTAGATCTGTCCGATAAACTTCCAAAGCGGGGGGCGGGCGAGCGGGCGGGTAGTTTAAGCTCCTGCCTGGGAACAGATTGAATGTAGACAGTTTAAAAGATTATTACATTTGGAGAAGTAGCTGAAATCACCAAGCTTGAAAAGGTGTGAAGGAGCAGCAGAAAGGATACAGTCCTGGTCTGGCTATGCAGGGCTTTTTTTATTTTCTTTCCCTAGACCCCTAAAGCTGTGAGGAATCTTGTTGCTAATCAGAAGGAAGAAACCCAGGCTCTTGGTCCTAAATGCACACAATTATGAAAGCAAAGGCAATGAAACATTAAAAGATGTTCCCAAAGTATGTCAGAGCTAACATACACACCACTCCAACCAAACTGAATTAGCCCAACCAGTCAGAAGTGCTTTTTTTTTTTCTTTTTTTTTTTAAAAAAGAATCTGTTGGCAAATGTGTCTCATTTATCAAATCCTTTCATTTCCCCTTCTCCCCAGCCCTCCTTCACAGGTCAAAGGAAATGCACTGGTCTATTGAAAGATATTGATTTCCTCCCACTGTGAGATTCCTAAGGAACCTCATTGAAAGGAGGGATAAAGATCCTGGTGGGTTTCAGGGACAGCTCTCTTACTTCCTCTTCTCCTACCCTGGCTTCTTCCCATTGGAATGCAGCTAGTTTCTTGACTTTTGGTGAATACTAGGAGTTTCCCAGGAGACATTGTCAGAGACTAGATGGAGGTTACTCCAAGGTACAGTGGATTAAATGCTGCACTGGATGGAGGTGGGACCAGAAGACCCCTAGGACTCCTCTAGCTCTAAGGTCCTGTGGACCAGTCTTTCAATTCTACCCCAAAGGGCCACTTACAGTTCAGAAGCAACTGATACAAGCCTCAGGAAATTAGACTTAGATAGATATTGACCCCCTCCTCTCACCCAGATGATCAAATGGCAGGTGTGGACACTTGTAAGGACAGCAGTGCCTTGTAAGTTAGTCGGGCCGGATGTTGAGTGACGATTGTGGGCAATGCTGGGCTAGATGATGTTGAAACAAAACAAACATGCAGACAAAAACCCTTCTCTTTCTCTTTGAGTAGCGTCTCTTTAGCGAGACCATGACTCTGAGCTCCTAGATGACATACTACATCTATTTTTTAATATTAAATTTTATTGAGGTGTGATTGGCATGAAATAAACTGCACATAAAGTATGCAAGTGATAAGTTTGGCCTATGTGTACAACTGTAAAACCCTCACCACAATCAAAACAGTGGATATATCCCTTCCCTCAAAAGTTTCCTCACATCCCTTTAGGATCCTTTCTGCCTCTCTGGCACCCTATCTTCCCTCCCCCAGTCTCTAGGCAACAGCTAATTTGCCTTATGTCATTGTAGATTAGTTTGCATTTTGGAGAATTGTAAAAGAACGGAGTCATAGAGGACATATTCTTCTTTTTCTGGCCTTTTTTACTGAGCATAATTATTTTGAGATCCATCCATGTTGTTGCATTTATCTGTAGTTTATTTCATTGTATTCCTACATAGTAATCCATCGGATGGATAATATCACACTTTGTTTATCCATTCACTTATTGATAGACATTTGCATTGTTCCAGTTTTTGACTGTTACAAATAAAGCTGCCTTGAATATTTTATGTACAAGTCTTTTGTATCGACATATGCTTTCAGTTCTCTTGGGTAAATACCTATGAATGAAACGGCTGGATCACATGTTAGGCATATGTTTAACTTCTTCAGAAATCATTTCTTGAAATAGTTTGTACCATTTTATATTCCAACCGGCGGTATGTGAGAATTCTAGTTACTTCACATCTTTGCCAATGCTTGGCATGGTTAGTCTTTTCAGTTTTAAACAGTCTGGTGTGTGTGTGTGGTGGGTTCGTATCTCATTATGATTTCAATTGCATTTTCCAAATGACCAATGGTATACATCTTTTCATGTGCTTATTTGCCATCATATTATTTTGGGATGAAGGGTCTGTTGAAATCTTTTGTCCATTTTTTAATTGGTTTGCTTTTTTTATTATTGAGTTTGCAAGTTCTTCATATAATCCGGATACAATTCCCTTATCAGATTTGTGATTTGCTAATATTTTCTCCATTTATTTTCTTTTTCTCCAAAGTTTTTTATTCTCAAGGCAGTGTCTTTTGAAGAGAAGGTCTTAATTTTTTTTAAGGGATGGGGTTTGCTATGTTGCCCAGGCTGGAGTGCAGTGGCTATTCACAGGAACAATCTCGCTACTGATCAGCATGAACGTTTTGATCTCTCCATTTCCAATCTGGGCAGATTCACCTCTCCTAGGGCGACCTGGTGGTCCCCCTCTCCCAGAAGTTCACTATATTGATGCTGAACTTAATGCAGACGCCCTTTACAAGGCTGTATTTTAAACCACACCAGTGTTCAGTTCCTTAGCAAGACGATTCAGAGACAAATACCAGCACTATTAATTATACCTTTATTTAGAAGTGCAGTATCTTGAAAGACAAGTGTTTGAGTAACTTGGAAGAAAAGAAGACTGAAAGGAGGAAAGCCACATTTTATGGAAGAGATGAAATTTATTGGTACAATTTAGATAAGTCAGGAGTAGATAGAACCTGAGTAAGCACCTAGAGAGAATATGTAAAGTTTGTTTAGCAAGAATTCCAATTAAGTTGTAAGAAAGGGTGCATAAGGAATAAAATGGAGATAAAGCAAAAGATCTTGAAATAGAGGTTGAAGAGTTTGTGCTTAATTCTCAAGGCACTAGACAGCCATGAGGTTTTTACTTAAGAGGGAGGGGGTTGCTGCAGGAGTTGAAATGATGGCACTAACTAAACTACTGAATGCTCACATGCGTTTACCGACCCAATCTCCTACCTGCTTGCTCTTGGAGTCAGGAGGAGGAAAGGGAGGAGGGAGGAAGAGATGAAGGGAGGGCTAGGACTTGTGGGAGAGGCTGACTGGCAGCAGGGCTTTAATTTCAATGGAATGTTTTCACGGGCATCGCCTTTCCCTTCCTGGTTGGGTGGATGAGCAGAGGTTCCTTGGGAATGTTTTTCTTGGGCACTTTTATAGGGTTTCAGCTAAAAACACAGGATATTGGTATGCATCTTCACGGTTTAGGTTAAATTGCAGTTTGCCCCCAAAACTTCCTTGAGGTTACATTTTATTCAACCCTTTTCGCCGTTCAAATGCCTACCAAACAGAGATTTATAGAAGAGGCTGAAGCTGGGAAGAGCCTCAAGAGACCATCCAAACCATCCTGTCCTCTTACACTCACTGTTCTATGAAGAAGTTAGGGTGAGAGGGGGTAGCTCAATTCCAATAATGTGAATCTGATGACACCACTTACCTCTATACAATCCTTTCATGGAAACCCCAAATCTTTTCATTTTATTTTATTTTTTTGAGATAGGGTCTTTCTCTGTTGCCCAGGCTAGAATGCAGTGGCATGATCATGGCTCACTGCGGCCTTAACCTCCTGGGGTCAAGCAATTCTCCTGCCTCAGCTTCTCCAGTAGCTGGGACTATAGGCGCACACCACTACACTCGGCTAATCTTTGTATTTTTTTGTGGAGATGGGGTTTTACCATGTTGCCCAGGCTGTTCTTGAACACCTGGGCTCAAGTGATCCTCCTGCCTCAGCCTCCGAAAGTGCTGGGATTACAGGCATGAGCCAACTGTGCCCGGCCTCAACCCAATATCTTTACCTAGAGTGATCATATATCCTGGTTTGCCCAGAATAGTCCTGGTTCTTGTTTTTTTCCCCAGGGTTTAATTATTGGTAATAACCCCTTTCACTCCCTAAAGTGAACCAGTTACATAATAAATTTTATGGTCACCTAAGTAATGCTTTCCAACTGATGCACCCCAGTGTGAAGACTGACGTCAGAAGTGGGTTGTCTCTGAGTTGCTGGGAGAGGGCTGTAAGCTCTTCTATGCATATATAGTTTCTCAATCAGCAGAGAGAAAAGTAAAACTATGACAGGTTGAGTATCCTGAATCCAAAAATTTCAAATCTGAAATGCTCCAAAATCTAAAACATTCTGAGCACCAACATAACTCTCAAAGGAAATATCATTGGAACATTTTGGATTTCTGATTTTTGAATTAGGAATAATCAACTGTAAGCATAATGCAGATATTCCAAATTCTGAAAAAATGTGAAATCCACAACACTTCTGGTCCCAAGCATTTAGGATAAAAGATACTCAAGCTGCACATTTTAAGAGTCTAAGAGGAATGCTGGAGGGAAGGATAGCGATTGTTGAAAGTAGGCACGCACCGTCTGCAGACTCAGCACTCCTCACCCAGCCTGCGGCCCCACAACTCACCGCCTAGCCCTTCCCACTATTTTTAGAGGCAAAGTCTTGCTCTGTCACCCAGGCTGGCGTGCAGGGGGACGATCCTAGCTCACTGCAGCCTTGAACTCCTGGGCTCAAATGATCTTCCCGCCTCAGCCTCCTGGATAGCTGGGACTAGTGGGAAGCATGTGCCACTATGCCTGGCTATTTTTATTTGATTATAGAGATGGGGTCTCACTATGCTGCCTCCTTCTTTACGGTCCAGCCACCAGAAGCAGTTCCTGGTCTCCTGACTCTACTGTGTCACTTCAGGGCTTTGGAACATGCTTTCCCTCTGCTGGAAGACATCTGCAGCCACCTCATCTCCCTCTTCCTTCAGTGCTCTGAGGTATTTCCCCTTGACATCCTCCCCAGGTGTCCCCCAAACCCCCAAACCATGGGACAGAGCCGGGATCTCCCCACTCTGAGCTGCTCTGACCTCCCCTTTCTTTTCTGTCCTGGTGCCCATTAATACTCTACATTGGCTGTGTGAGTGTACGTGCAAGTCTCCCTCCTGGACTGTGAGCAACTAGCGGGCAGGGCTGTCCCCCAACCCCGAGCACAGTGACTGGCATAAGGAGAGGATGCCCACACATACTGTCAAGTACACTCATTCGGTGGATATTTATTGAGCATTAGCTTTGCTCCAAGCACCACACAGCAGGGGACACTGCAGTGCACCAATGTCCCTATACCTGGAGAGCTGCAGCTGAACCCATGAATGGGGCAGTGTGAGTGTGTGGACAGGTCAATACATCATGAATGTGTGTCCATATGTATCCGTGTCTGTTCAAGGAGTTTGCTAGAACCTGCGTTCCTCTCAGGAAGACAGAATGCTTCAAAACAAATCAGTTTTTTTCTTTGTAGTTTCTTTGTGAATTAAGCAGCATAAACCTCTGATCTATGTAAAAACAGGGAAAGGGAAGTCTAGGGAGGCTAAAATAACTTTATCAACGTCGCTGAGTTGAGTGGCTAGTCCCCTGAGGGAGAAGCCTTGTGCCTTGGATCCCAGCTCAGCCGGGGGCAGCCGTGGCCCCGGCACAGCCTGATCTTACCGTGCGTGCCTGGGCGCAGCTCCTTCACCTGGGGGCTTGGGGTTCCTCCCTACTGCTTCTCACCACTGAATGTTTGTGAAAGGCAGGGCTGTGTTTGCGCCTGTAGCCAGGCAGGGGCTCTTTCCCAGAAGCTGGTCCAAGGCCACAGAGGCTGAGCAGAAACCCATGTGCTGTTTGTTGTGAGGCAGGCTCTGTTCTCAGGGATTTATTTGTGAAATTCCTGGAGTGGGGAGGAAGACCTACAGCTTGGCAGAAGTAAATGCCAGGTCCTGAGAAGCTTGGCAAATGGAGAAGGAGAGAAAGGAGTATGGGGTGGGGGGTGGAGAGGGAGGTGGAGAGAGAGAGAGAGAGATACTCAGGCTGAGCCCTGGGATCAGGCTTTGAAGACAGAAAAGATTCTAACTTTTTGCCCTCAAAAGACTGTAAATCAGTCTCATTCTCTCCACACCCACTGCTACACACTCACCTTAATTCATCTCTGCCTTTAACCTTTGACCAATTCTCCTCACCCTAGCTCAGAGATAACTTTCTTCTTCTTTTGTTCAGAGGTTGTAACAGCTTTGGGACGCTCTGGGATCCCTGTTCCACTTTGCCTTTCCCTGCCTTCATCACCCCCTTAATTATGGACATGAACAGTCTTCAGGTCAAAGAAAAATGTGGGTAAGATGTGGCCTCCCCAAGGACTGAAGGCAAAGGCCAGCACCCCAGAGGGAGGCATCACTCTCCAGGACAGGCCGGGGATGGCGGGAGCGCCTCACTCCAGCAGAAGTGAGGGCCTGGCTTGCTCTGTCAGTGGCCCGGAGAGCTCGCCTTACCTCCCTGGAGCATGGGTTAGATTCCAGAACTGCCTCTCCCAGTTCATAGCAAGTACAGAGAGCCATAGTGAGGGGCAGGAGGTGCTTGGAGGTGCAGAGAACAGGTTACCTGTCGCTGTCAGGTAAACCTGAATCCTGAAGCCCAGATCACTCAGCTACTGTCTGAGTCTGCCAGGGGCCTCCCTCCAACACACCCCAAACCTTCTCCCCGTCCCAGTGCAGCTTTCTGCTGTGGTTTCAGTCCTCAGCGGGTCAGCCAGTGCCGCCTCCACTTGTCCTGATCACACTGGCCCTTCCACTCCAGAGGTCATTTGCCTCCTCAGAGGGCCCCATGCACCCAAATGTACTTGAGTATAAGGTGGCCAGAGTGGCTGAAGATGTTTTACCTGGACAGGGAAGGGAGGGCACTCCTGTGAGCCAGGCCAGGGGGAGATGTAAGGGGTGAGGAATCACAAATTTAATTTCAAAAGACTGAAGCTGAGACGTGACAGGGCACTCCTGCACAGAAACTCCCCTCCTTCCTCACTCTAGGAAATCTGGAGAAAATCCAGAAAGTGGGTGGCAGCTGCAGAGGGATCCACACATAGTGGAATAGGGCCTTCCTATCTCCAGAGCTGGAGAGCTGTCTCTTTTGTGTTTTGAGACAGGGCCTCGCTCTGTCACCCAGGCTAGAGTGCAGTGGCGCGATCTTGGCTCACTGCAGCCTGGGCTCAAGCAATCTGCCCACCTCAGCCTCCCGAGTAGCTGGGAATACAGGTGCGTGCCACCAGGCCCAGCTAATTGCTCATTTTTTTGTATTTTTGTAGAGATGGAGTTTCCCCATGTTGCCCAGGTTCGTCTAGAACTCCTGGACTCAAGTGATTTGCCTGCTTCGGCCTCCCAAAGTACTGGGATTACAGGTGTGAGCCACTGCACCCGGCCTGGAGAGCTGTCTTTAGGGTGGTAGCTGAATGTCATATTCCTGGACAGACCTGACCGCATGGAATGGCACAGTCTCTGGGACCCCTGCCTGCCTTTTCTTTCTCCCTCTCCACTTAGAAACTTCACCCCAGACTGGGTTCAGGAATAGGGCTTGGTACCCAATATAGGGCCTAGTATACAGTAGGTGCTAAAGGTGTTCACTGAATGAATGATTAAAACATGAACCAGTCAGGGAGGAGACAAAAGAGGTAGGACTCAGGACTGGGCAGAGACTGGGGACACGGGTGGATAAATGGTAGAGGCTTAAAGGGGTTCTGTGTCTTGGGACAGAACATATATGCCTGTGACTCATGAACATAAGCCTCAGCTTCTAACTGCAGTATCTGGCATAAATGGTTCCATAGTTCACAATGTATGCACAGCCTGACCCCCATTCAAGGGGCAGGCATCCAGGGACAGCAGTTCAGAGGACTCTGGTCTCAAGCTGGAGGAACCATATGATCCCACGCTCCCATTTTTAAATGAGGGCGAGTGACATTGCCAAGGTCACAGTGGGTTGGAGCAGGGCCCATCTCCAGGTCAGGTTCTCCTGGCTCCACCTGGTCCCCTCCAGGGGATTTAAAGAGGCAGCTTTTCCTGGATGAAGACTGATTGGTGACTGTGACTCATTAGCACATGAAACCAGTCAGACCTGGCATGGCTCTGCCCACCCTCTTTCAATCACACCCAGCCCTGGAGCCTCTTCTAACCTATCCTCTAGTTCTCCAACTACACTGCCTACTAGCCACCTGGAATCCTCAGCCTTTTAAAGAAGAAGCACTTGTTTTGCTTGAATCACCTCAGAAGGCCCCTATTTTATTTTAATTATTTACACTCAAATTCCGGAGACACTTGTGACAGCCCAGTGTCTCATTCGTCTTTCCACAGACACAACACACAGTAGGTGCTCAGTAAGTTTGGTGTTGGGAGGAGGTAGGAAAAAGATGAACAGAACTCTAGGCAGTCTGGGGAGCCCTGAGCTTTACTGAGCTTTGTTTGTGAGTTTTCTCAGCAAAGCCCCAAACTGGATAGTCTGGCAAGGAGAACTGCCTTTATGTGCCTATTAGCCAAGCAAAAAGTGTTTGCTATTAGAT